>NC_000017.11:1703232-1854747 GCF_000001405.40 Homo sapiens
GCAATTCGTGTGTGGTCCCAAATTCTTCCAAGCGTCCACTACATCCTGCCCCACCTGGGAGCTGACCTCACTCTTCCTGTATGGGCTTGACTAGTTAATCCACAGAAACAGCCATGTTTCCCTAATGGTCAAGTTCTTGGGCAGCCTTCATAGACACTATCTATCTATCTATCTGTCTATTTATTTATTTATTTATTTTTTAAGACGGAGTCTTGCTCTGTCACCCAGGCTGGAGTGCAGTGGCACGATCTTGGCTCACTGCAAGCTCCGCCTCCCGGGTTCATGCCATTCTCCTGCCTCAGCCTCCTGAGTAGCTGGGACTACAGGCGCCCGCCACCACGCCCGGCTAATTTTTTTTATTTTTAGTAGAGATGGGATTTCACCTGCCTCGGTCCCCCAAAGTGCTGGGATTACAGGCGTGAGCCACCACGCCCGGCCTCATAGACACTATCAAGTATTACCAAAAGGGACACTCACTCAAACCATCATGAATGTATACCAGTGGCCAAAGAAAAGGTGTATGACTTAGAATCAATTCATATCAACCTCAACAGATATTTAAGGAATAGATTCCTCACATGAGTTTGTCATATTTCTTTTTCTTTAAAAACTCAAGGCAGACAACATTTTTGTTAATCAAGGCATTCAGTTAAGATGGCAAATTGAGTTTTGCAGATATGACTTTTTTTTTTAATTAAAAATTTTTTTTTGGCCGGGTGTGTTGGCTCACGCATATAATCCCAGTAGTTTGGGAGCCCAAGGTGGGCGGATCACCTGAGGTCAGGAGTTTGAGACCAGCCTGGCCAATATGGTGAAATCCTGTCTCTACTAAAAACACAAAAATTAGCCGAGTGTGGTGGTGGGTACCTGTAATCCCAGCTACTAGGGAGGCTGAGGCAGGAGAATCACTTGAGTCCAGGAGGTGGAGGTTGCAGTGAGCCAAGATTGTGCCACTGCATTCCAGCCTGGGCAGCAAGAATGAAACTGTCTCAAAAAAAAAAAAAAAAAAAGAAGAAAAGAAAGAAAAAAGAAAATTTTTTTTTTTTGTAGAGAGGAGGTCTCAATATGTTGCCCAGACTGGTCTTGAACTCCTGAGCTCAACCACTCCTCCTACCTCGGCCTCCCAAAGTGCTGGGATTACAGGCGTGAGCCACCATGCCCAGCCAGCAAACATGACTTCTAGAAGTACAGACTCTGACAAAATTCTGCATTGTTTCTCTAGCTCACTATCTATACCTTTGCCTCTTGGGTTTTTATCTAATTACATTTAAATGCTCTGCTCTTATTTTCTGCTTGTGTTTAGCTCCTTCCAACTGTGTTTTCCTCAGTCTCGATGTATTTTCATCCTTTGCGCCTGTTTTTATGACTCTATGATGGAGACTTCTCACAATCCCTCTCATTTTTTTTTCACACCTGTATTTTTCCTCCTCTTTTCATTTCTGGGTTCCTGCCTCTTCTTTGTTCTTTGGATATTCAATTTTTTTTTTTGAGACGGAGTCTCACTCTGTCACCCCTGCTGGACTGCAGTGGCACTATCTCGGCTCATTATAACAACCTCGGCCTCCCAGGTTCAAACGATTCTCCTGCCTCAGCCTCCTCAGTAGCCGGGATTACGGGCGCCTGCCACCACGCCCGGCCAATTTTTTGTATTTTTAGTAGAGATGGTGTTTCACCATGTTAGCCAGGATGGTCATCTCCTGACCTCGTGATCCGCCTGCCTCGGCCTCCCAAAATGCTGGGATTACAGGCGTGACCCACCATGCCCAGCCTGGATATTTAAATTGTTCTGTGCTCTCCTCCTTTTTTTTCTCTCTGTGATTCTCTTTGTCAGCTCCTTTGCCTATATTTGCATCTCAGTTGACACCCCTGATTCTGACTTGTCCTTATCTTCCTACCAGTCTCTGCCGACCGGTTACTGTCAGCCTGTCTTTAGGGTTTGCGCTGCAGCTGTTTGTCCTTTGTCTTTCTGCCTGCCTCCAAGTCCCCATATCTCCTGGTCTCTTCTGTCAGTGAATCTTCCCACTGACTGCCTCCTCCGCCTTCTGCTTCTCAGCTCCCCGGACTCGTCCCCGCTCTTCTCTGTTCCCACCTCTCCTCTTGCTCTTCTGATCTCTCTATCTGCCAGTATTTCCTCCATCACTCCTGAGCCTGGGTGTTTCTCCTTGTCACTCACTCTATTTCACTGTCTAGACTCTCTGTGCCTTTCAGCCTTGGGGTCTCTTCTTGTCGGCCTTCATTTCTATTTTTCTGGTCCTTTTTGTTTATAACCCTTTTATCAGTTCTGTGACTTTGGTGTCTCTCAGGATCTATGACAGCCTTTCTCCATATTTCTGCTAGGGCCTGTCTCTTTTGCCCTCCATCCTTCTTTGCCTCTGTCACCTCTATGTGAATAATCCTTCTCTCTTTCTATCTATCACTCAATCTATGTATGTCTGTCTCTGTCATTCTTCGTATCTTTCTGTACCTCCGCTTCTTAGCAAGGTTTTTGTTTTGTTTTGTTTTTTTTTGAAGACAATCTTCCTGTCTCTTGCTTTTGCTCATGTAGCTTTTCTGTGGATGGCTAAGGGTTGCCTCTCTCAGTCCATTGTTTAGTGGAACAGCAGACTTAATCTGCTGGGCACTTCCCGTCACCTCGATGTTCTGGGAAGGAAGGGGTCTTGTTCAACAGAAAAAAACGCAGCAGAAGCAGCAGGGAGGAAGAAGACTTTATGAATGTATCTCAGAAAAGTCCCAGCTCTTCCTTTTTTTTTTTTCTTTAGAGACAAGAGTCTCACTCTGTTTGCCCAGGCTGGAGTGCAGTGGCACGACCTCGGCTCACTGCAACCTCTGCCTCCTGGGTTCAAGCGATTCTCCTGCCTCAGCCTCCTGAGTAGCTGGGATTACAGGCATGCACCACCATGCCCGGCTAATTTTGTATTTTTAGTAGAGACAGGGTTTCACCATGTTGACCAGGCTGGTCTTGAACTCCTGACCTCAGGTGATCCTCCCGCCTCGGCCTCCCAAAGTGCTGGGATTACAGGCGTGAGCTGCTGCGCCCAGCCAGAGGGCCAGCTATTCCTTTATCCTCCTGCAGCCTTCTCTCACACAGTCTACCTCTGCCCTTGTTCTTCCATGAAAGCCTGGGCCTGGGAAAACTCTGTACTGGGCACCTTTCCTTCTGTAATTCTAGACTTCAGTGCCGTCCTAAGAAGACAAACCAGCCCTGTGTTCATTCCTCTAAGAATCCGAATTGTCTTTGAAAAGTCAAAAGGGGTCGGGTACGGTGGCTCACGTCTGTAATCCCAGCACTTTGGGAGGCTGAGGTGGGTGGATCACTTGAGTGCAAAAGTTTGAGACCAGCCTGGGCAACATGGCAAAACCTGGTCTCTACAAAAAAATACAAAAATTAGCCTGGTGCAGTGGCGTGCACCTGTAGTCCCAGCTACTTGGGAGGCTGAGGTGGGAGGCAGGAGAATTGCTTGAGCCTGGGAGGCAGAGATTGCAGTGAGCCAAGATCAAGCCACTGCACTCCATCCTGGGCAACAGAGCAAGAACTTGTCTCAAAAAAAAAAAAAAAAAAAGAAAAGAAAAAAGAAAAGTCAAAAGATACTAAAAATAAAAATAAAAATAAAAGGCTAGACACAGCAGGACCAGGGTTAAGGAGAAAAACAGGAGTGTGCGCCTGTTCTCACGTCTGTAATCCCAGCACTCTGGGAGGCCGAGGCAGGTGGATTACTTGAGGTCAGGAGTTCGAGACCAGCCTGGGCAACATGGTGAAACCTCCTCTCCACCAAAAAATACAAAAATTAGCTGGGCTTGGTGGTGCATGCCTGAAGTCACAGCTACTCGGGAGGCTAAGGCAGGACAATCACTTGAACCCAGGAGGCTGAGGTTGCAGTGAGCCGAAATCGTGCCACTACACTCCAGCCTGGGTGACAGAGTAAGATTCCGTCTCATAAAAAAAAAGAAAAAGAAAAAGAAAAACAGGAGTGTGGCTTTGAGAACCAGAAACATCAGCAGCAATTGCTGTGGCCCAGGTTCTGTCTCTTGGCAACTATCACGTCCATCTCTGCTGCTACAGATAGCACCTCCTCTACCTTCCTCCCACTGCCAGAATTTGGTTATAGGTGAGATCTCTTTTCTCTCTGTCCCCACCCGCCCCATACCAGATCTCTCTGATCCTAGTGGGACTTCACCTTCCCCCATCTGTCCCTGGGTTAAAGCAAAGAGCTTCTGTCTCCACTGGCAGTTTCTTCCAGCTGCATGCCTCCTGCCACCCTTTACTGATAGCTCTAGCTGTACCTCTTGAGTTTATTTGCTGGAAAGGATGCTCATCTGATGACGGATTTCAGTGAACAGAAACCCAGGTTCCCACCCATCCAACATCAGCATTTCTTCTTAGATCCGAGGAAGGGGAAGGGATGTGAGTTAGCTGGAAGAGAAACTGAGATTCTGATGAGCAAGTCTGGCCCTCACCCTGATGGGGGACTGTGCATGGAAGACCCTCATCTCCTTGTCCTGGCCCCACCTCCCCCAGCGAGGGGCCCATGGCTTCTCTCTAGTCTTTCAGGCTGAGAGTCGAACTGTTGCTGGTGACAGGTCCATTGTCACGACGTGTCCTGGTCCCCCTGGTTTTCTCATGGCCAGGGCTGGGTGGATGGGGTCGAGACTGTAGGACATCATTGACCAGAATACGGATCCCCAATATGATGCTCATGATGCCCACAGTGACCAGCCCAATTCCACCCAGGGTGACCAGAGCAAGAGGAACCTGGTGGTGCTGCCGGAACAGCCACAGACTCATCCACCCCAGCGGGACCAGGCGGAAGAGGGCCAAGGTGGCCAAGGAGGCCCAGCTGGTCACGCTGAAGGCCAGGGATGGGGCCTGGCGAGAAAGCAACAGCAGCTTCCGCAGGTGCAAGCAGGCAGAGTTCAGTTCCAGGAGCAGAGACACCATGGAGAAGCCCACGTAGTGGCCAGACAGAACAGCGGTGCTGAGGCAGCTCACCACCTGGGAGCCAGGGTCACAGGTCAGAGGAACCCCATGACCTGCCAGCCATCATGTCCCAATAACCCAGGCCTGAAGAAAGAGGCTTCCACGCAGTCTGTGGGGCTCCCCAAACACCTGACCTTTATGCTTTTACCTTTATCCTGGGGCCCTGAGCAGCCTTGAAACAACCCTTCCATAGATGGAACCAGGCTTGGCCCAGGGAGGGGCTGTCTCACCCCCTAATACCCCCTTAACCTCCCATTCCTGGGCTTGCTTGCTTTTTTTTTTTTTTTTTTTTTTTTTCGAGACAGACTCTCACTCTGCCACCAGGCTGGAGTGCAGTGGTGTGATCTTGGCTCACTGCAACCTCTGCCTCCTGGGTTCAAGCAATTCTCCTGCCTCAGCTTCCAGAGTAGCTGGGACTACCGGTGCGCGCCACCACACCCAGGTAATTTTTGTATTTTTAGTAGAGACGGGGTTTCACTGTTAGTCAGGATGGTCTCGATCTCCTGACCTCGTGATCCACCCGCCTCGGCCTCCCAGTGTGCTGGGATTATAGGCATAAGCCACCGTGCCTGGCCTAGGGCTTTCATGCCCCATACCCACACCCTATACCAGGACACCCCCTTCTCAGAAAAGCTCCATATTCCACATTTCTGTGATCAGCTGGACACCTGTGGGGGCACCCAAACTCCTTAGGCTCACATGGTGGGTGCCCTGGCATGGTGGGTGCCCTTGTATGGTGAGTGCCCTGGCATGGTAGGTGCCCTGGCCTGGTGGGTATCTGGACTCCCCAGCTGTGGCCAGCAGCCACCTCCTCCCCCTAACTCAGCCTAAGACTGGGAGCCAAGCACCAGCTGGGGGCAGAGACTGTGGGAAATTATAGGACAGCAAAATGAAGAGAGGGCCGGGGGCGGTGGCTCATGCTTGTAATCCCAGCACTTTGGAAGGCTGAAGTGGGCGGATCACCTGAGGTCAGAAGTTCGAGACCAGCCTGGCCAACATGGAGAAACCCCGTCTTTACTAAAAATACAAAAAATTACTTGGGCGTGGTGGCGGGTGCCTGTAATCCCAGCTACGTGGGAGGCTGAGGCAGGAGAATTGCTTGAACCCAGGAGGCGAAGGTTGCAGTGAACAGAGGCCGAACCACTGGACCCCAGCCTGGGTGACAGAGTGAGACTCCGTCTCAAAAAAAAAAAAAAAAAAAAAAAAAAAGAATGAGGAGAGACTGGGAACCTCGGGCTGGACAGGGCTCCCCTCCTCCCTTCCTGTCTGGCTTCTGCCCTCAGAGTCTCACCACCAAATGATGACAGAGAAGATCCCAGGTCTTGCCCAAGGTCTGGTTCCACAGCAGGTCAGCTCCGTCTGCCAGGAAGTAACCTGTGGGCATGGGGGTAGGGGTTAGGCTGCTCCAGAGCCCGGGCAGCTTAGAGAGGATTTCCAGCCCCCCCGCCCCGCCCCTCTCCCAGTTCTTAGTTTTCCCTTGGTAAAGCCTTCAGGAACGTTTAACCCCCATGGGGGCGGGGAATGGACCTGGAAGGACAGCAGAACCTGCCCCCCGCCCCATCCCCACCACCGGCCCAGCCTTCCCTGCAGACTCACCCACAGACACAGCCACCAGCACCAGAGCCCAGCGCGGGTGGCCATGGATGGGGTCGGCGGCCATCTGAGGGTACAGTGACAGGCTGGGGGCATGGGGTGGGGACATGGGGGGGGGCATGGTCAGCCTCTCGAGGCCCCGGCCGCAGTCTCCCTGTGCGCACCCCCACCCCAGTCTCAGCTCTGGAGACGCCCGGCGGGTCTCCCGGCCTCAGCCTCCCACCCCTCGCCCTCGCCCCGTGCGCCTCGAGCCCCCAAGCCCGCACCCGAGCAGCGCCCCGGTCCCCGAGAGCAGGCTGTGCGCCAGGGAGACGCAGAGGTTCCACCACTGCCAGCGGTCCCGAGCGGCCGATTCCGGCGTGGGCAGCCGCCGCAACCCCCAGTGCAGCCCCCGGAACGCGAGGAAGGAGGCGCCGGCCACCAGGAGCCCCGTGGGCGCCATGGCCTGGCGGTTGGGGGGTTGCGGGGAGTCCGGGTCGGTCCCCTCGGCGCCCGCGCTCTCGGCCGGGACTGGGAACCCGTTTCCCGGCAGGGCTGGGGCCCCGGCTCCCCTCCCCGCCGCGCCTTTGGGATCAGCAGGAACTTTTCCCCGTTCGTCCACGCCCAGTCCCTCGCCTGGGCGGTGATTGGAGCAGCCGCGGGGCCGCCGCCCCCGGAGCCTTGGCCACCGATTGCGTCTTGCTCCAGCCGGGGGAGCGGTTCGGGGGCTCCGGGCAGTAGACCATGCCCTGGAGCTCGGGGGGCCTCCGGGATGTTCGCCAATAGGGGTCCTCCCCAGCTCCAAGCGTCCTGAAGCGCTGGAGTTGCAGACCTGGGTCTCCAGTCTAACCTCAACTGACACTCCCGGGCCCCACCCACGAACCTTGACCTCTTCCCGGCTCCCGCGACTTTCACCTGCTGAGCGTCATCACCACCCACCGCCACACCCTGCAAGGCAGAGGCTAGCGCAGCCCACTCGTACCTGCCCGAGCCTGGCCGCCGCCCCCACTTCCCTCCCCGCGTCCGTGGTGGGGACGGGGTGCCCCACTTTCTTGGAGCCACCCCTTCGGCCTCCTGAGGTTTCCACGCCTTTACCATATCCCGGCAAACCTGTAATTCCAGCAGTTCTGCTCCCCCTCCCCCACAACCCCCAGGAGACCCCATGTTGGAGAAGCGACCCACTGGGCCCCGCCCCGACCCCCAGCATTGTTTTCGGCCCTACGGAGGAGCCTCATTAGGAAGAGGACGCAAAAGGGAATCGCTGGCCCCCAGTCTTGAAAAGCACTTCCTTCCCCAAGGGCTTGGTACCCGTTGGGTGGGTAGAATATCTTCAATCCGAGGGCAAGGAAAGGTAACACAGGGTCCCTTCAAGGCTGGGACAGAGTCAGAAGAGAAAAACAGACCTGTCCTGCTCTTAGTAGCAGGGCGGTTAGGATTCCAGAACCCTCCAGCCTTAAGAGGAAGAGCCTCCCCCAGCCCCTCACCACCTGAAGAGCCCCAGGTTGCACTGCTTTCCTTCCACCTTACTCCACTCCACCTCTTCAGCTGGCAGACAGTCAGCAAGTCAGAGCTGTTTCCTGCAGGCTGAGAGGGAGGATTCCAGCTACTTCAAAGAATTAAGTTCATAAACCAAGAGGTGCCCCAACCAAACCTTCTCACCAAAAAGCTGAGGTCTTCCCTTCATTCTTCTACCCCCACCTCTCCAAAGGTTTAAATAATAACACTGATCTCTTAAATTATATTATATGAAATACAAAATGTGGAAAATTTGGAAATTACAGAAAAACCAAAGATGAAAATTACAGTGACTTTGTTCCACCATACAAAGATAACCACTCAACATTTTTTAGTATGCCTTCCGTCTTTTTTATCTGCTCTACGTATACAAGCATACACCCATATTTTAAAAAACAAAATTGAAATCACATAACATGCACTATTTTTACAACCTTTTAATATTCAAGGAGCATTTTTCTTTCAGTCAGATGTTCTTTTACATGACTTTTAATGTCTGCGCGGTACTCCACCATCTGGATGGAGATACAATAATTTACTTAAGCAATCCCCTATTGCAAACTTTCGTTACAGCAGAAAAGGAATAAATTCCCAACCAAACCATTGCTTCCCATTTTTCTCCATTGCAATGCTGGGATGAACATCTTATCACTAACTAAATCCTTAAGTATTTTCTTAGGATAAATTCCCAAAGATAGAATTCGTAGGTCAAATGACATGGAGGCTTTTAGGCCACATGACACATATCACCCAACTGTCATCCAGGAAGCCTGCACCGATGTATACTCCCACACGCAATGTATGGGAATGTTTTTTCAGTAGTCTCTTTGCCAATATTGGGTCTTATTTTTTTCTGTTATGGTTTGCTAAGGGAAAAATGCTTCCAGCTCTATTTGCCTTTCTTTAATTACTAATGAAGCATACTTTTTTTCATGGTTTTATCCATTCAGATTTCTTTTATGAATTTCCTGTGTGTGTCCTTTCGCAGATGGTTCTTGGTCCTTGAGGCTGCTTATATAAACATTACAGGCTGGGCGGAGGTGGAAGTAGGGCGGTGAAGCCACAGGGCACCGCACTATGGTGCCACATCTCGGAGGCAGAAAGCCTGGAGAGAAATGGTGATCAAAGTAGGAGAGGGCTGGAGGCTCGCCGTCAATGGAGGCTGGCTGCCCTCCCTCCTCTTGGGGTGCTCCTGGCCTTTAGGGGCTCCTCTGCTGGATGCCCAGGTAGGACCCTGTGCTCTCCAGGCCTGGTCCTTCACTGGTCTCCATATTCCCAGGCTGCCTCTCCTCACCTCTGCTCCATGATGGGTGAAGATGGCAGAGGCACATAGCGAGGGCTGGAGGGAGATGCTGTGGCCAGTGAAGCAAGGAGAAAGTACGGAGGCAGTGTCCAGGGACAGAGTCACCTTTGTTGCAGCCTATGAGTCTATCCCCTGCTTCTCTACCACTGTCCCA
Source organism: Homo sapiens (assembly GCF_000001405.40). NCBI lineage: Eukaryota > Metazoa > Chordata > Mammalia > Primates > Hominidae > Homo > Homo sapiens. The sequence goes on from NC_000017.11 coordinate 1,712,752, forward strand.
CACGCATCCTGCCCCTCAGCTTGGCTGCAGAAGAGCAGGGTTCCACGGTCTACTCTTCTCCACATCCTTGAGTTTTTCACAAGCGGAGGACAAGATACAGCTCCCTGCACATCTCCTCCCACCAAATCGAACAGACACAGCTTCCTGTAGCCGCTAGGTGAGAATGGATCAGGGCTGGAGGTGGCAGGTTTACACTCACTGCCTGATATCTGGAAGGAGGTCACATCCCACAACCCACCTCCCCTACTTGCTGCAGGGGAGAATTTCCTGTCTGCACAGGCCTGAGCTGGGGATCACATACCACCTTGGAAAGCAAAGTGAGGAAAGAAACAGAGTAGCAGCAGTTAGAATCCCACCAAGGGGCTGCTGTCCTGCTTTGGATATCAGGGGAAGCCTTGGGCCACCCTTGCATGGGGGGAAGTCACGGAGAGGCGAGCTCTTACTAGCTCCTCGCATTGGTCTAACTCTAACCCCCTCCTCCAGCTTCCCATTCCCCACCCAGCTTCTGGGTGATGGTATCAGGGATGGGGGAGGGACAACAGCTTCTGTGAAAAGGTGTTTTGTTTCCACCCACAGCAGGGGGAGAGCCCGGGTTCTGAGTCAACCCAGATGGGCTTCTGATTCCCTCATGCACACTCATCTGTGTGACTGCCCATCTCACAGGTGGAGAAACTGAGACAGGAGGTCTAAGGGTCTCAGATACAGGTAAGTGCCCAGGAATCTAGAGTCTGGGCCAGCCTAAGGAAATGCAGGGAAAAGTAAGAGCAGAAGGATGACTCCTCACGCCTGGGTTTAGTATCACTTTTCCCTGAAGAGTGAGCTTACTTTTGGACCTCATCTGGAAAGGCCAGTGGGGAAGAATGAAAGATACGGAAGGAGGGTCAAGAAGGAAGTCGGGGAGACAGAGTGTTCTCTCCACTTCTTCCCACTGTCACACAAAGACCAACTAACCTTGGGTTGTTTGAGCCTTCTACTCCTCAATCCAGCCAGTGTCTCTAATCTAAAACCGCTCCTTGCTGGGCCAATCTGGGCAAAGGCTCTCCAACTTGCCCAAAACGTATCATCCACCCTGCTGTTCGGACCTTCCCAGCCCATTTCTGTCACCTTCCAGATGATGGGGAAAGCAGCTCCTCCTCCTCCTCGAAGCCAGGGGCAGAGGGCAACAGTTCTTCAACTGGCAGCTTTAGCTGGGTCAGGACATAAAGCTTGCCACTGAAGAACTACTGCGGCTCAGCCAGGTGAGGGCGTGAGAGGAACAGGCTCCTAAGGGAAAGGGAGGGAAAATGGGAAAGATCTGAGCAGGGCATGTTGCTGCAACGCTGACCCACTCGCTGGCCATCAGGGTCCTGCCCCAGTAGACCTCTGAGATTCTAATGCAGGGCTGCAGCTCTGATCTGGGCCCGCGGAAGCTGTTAACCTCGCTGAGCAGCAAGAGGTGGCTGTAAACAGACTTCCCTTGCTCTTCTTTCCAGAACTGGAGTCTAGAGAAACCCAGTCCTGCTCTCACCCTCCCCTGCCCTAGCGGCCCCTGGGGGCCCAGCCTCCTCAGCATTCAGACAGGGTGGGGCCCGGGACCCTGGACACACCCCACCAGCACGCAGGTACTAGAAGTGTGGTACCTCAGGTCCAGAAATGTGAGTTCAGTGATCAGCCCAACTGACTTGTTCCCAGGGAGTTCAGCTGGAAGGAGAGTTCTGGGGGCCTGGATTGGGGAAGAGTGAGGAAGGGAGGAGGCCTAGCGTTTGAAAGAAGGTCAGCAGAGGCCCCCGGGGCTGTGAGGGGCGGACAGGGGACCACAGGCTGGAGAGGAGGGAGGTATCGGCAGGGTGGCCGGGGCTGTGAGGGGCGGGCAGGGGACCACAGGCTGGAGGGGAGGGAGGTATGGGCAGGGTGGCTGGGCAGCTTCCCCAGGACTCTCAGATGCCAGGCATTCCGCTTGCGCATTCCGGGTACATCTGGTATGAATTCCAGGCTGTCTGCCGGCCCCTCCATGTCTGAACTTTGTTCCAAGTTCCAAGCCCCGCCCCCACAGTTCCAACGCATGAATCAGCAGGAAAAGCCGGGCCCTGCAGCATGGCCCAGGGAGGGGGCTGGGGGCGTGGCAGGCTCGGGGGATGTGAGCTGGGGAGGGCGGGTCCGTGCTGACACTCAGTCCAAGGGCATGGCCCACGCCAGGCTGAGGGGCCAAGGCGGTCTTGCCTTGGAATTTCTATACTCAGAGGGTAAGAAAGATTGGGGGATACGGGGTGCGGTTCAAATTCCGAAACCCTCTTGGGAGGCATGAACTTTGTGTATCTTCCTTCCCCTGGGTGACCAGTCCAACTCCGTCCGACCTTCCTCTGTCTGAGATAGCTCTGTTCAACCCAGAGGACTCAGCAGCTGCTGAGAGTCTGTGCCAAGCAGGTGCCCTTGGCTGCAGGGCGGGGTGGGCCCAGGGCACTGACCCTCTGACCAGCTGCTCCATCAACCCTCTGGCACTCTGACAGCTCCTAGCCCAATCTGACAGCCAGGATGACAGGCCAAAGGAGTTGGAGGCTGGAACCAGGGCCGGAGGGAGGTGGGGGTGACAGCCTCGCCGGAGGCCATGGGGAGGGGCCAAGAGTTGGCCGAGAGGTGGGGAGAGAGGCAGCCCAGTGATGACTAACCCAGGCGCCCCACCCAGCCAGCCGGCTTCCCAGGCAGTCAGGGCCAGGCCTGGGCTAGGGGCCTCACAATCGGACAGGCTGGGGGGAGGTGCAGAGGTGACCTTCTCTCGGCCCAAGACGGCCAGTTAGTCTGGGGAGCGGGGGTTAGAGTTTCCAGGCCCTCCTCTTGCCCTCTTCCCCCCGCCCAACCACGGTGAAACCCTAACCTTTGGGTTGCATAAGGCCCCGGCACCGCCGCCCCCTACTCCTCTCCCCTCCCCCCTTACATAACATCCCCTGGAGAGAACGAGAGGAGGGGCCGGCCCGCCCAGCGACCCCTTCCCTGCCAGGGCGCTGAACTGGCCCTGACCCAGTGAACGCCGGCAGAGGCAAAGCACCTCCTCGCCGCCCGCTCGGGGGGTCCAGACCCTCCCCAGGCTAGATGGCCGGCCCCTGTATCCTCAGACCGGGGGCCGCCGGGTGAGCCGCCCCCGGCCCTCCGGCCCCTCGGCTCTCCCCCCGCCCCCCGCCACTCCGCCAGCCCTTCCGCCACGACTCCCGTCCCAGACTCTTTCCTCGTAGCTCCTGACACACTAACCCGGCCAGTCCAGGCCCCTCTCCCCGAGGCGCCCCTGCCCCCGCCGCCCCTTCTCCTCCCGGAAGGGCTGGGTGTGGCCGCCCGGACCCCACTTTCACCCTCCATCCCGTTACCGCGGCTCCCCGCTGCGTGACCGGGTCGCCAGCTCACACCCACCTGGTGCTGGGTGTGGGGGTTGCTGCACGAGGGGGAGCAAATCACTGCGTCCGCTCCCCACGGCCGGCGGCGCTGTCTCTTCTCGGCACCCAGCACACACCGGCTCCAGGCTCCGATCAGCTGGCGGCGTCGTGACGCACGAGCTGCGAATGCACGGCCCGGGGCCAATCACCGCCCACTGCTGGGCAACGTGGCCCCGCCCACCCGGGGGCCGACGGGGCCTCGCCCTGGTCCCGCCTCTCCGGGCGCCCTGGCTCTGATTGGCAAGGAGGCCACCCTTTTGCCGGGCGGAATTGCACGAAGCCACGCCCACCCACTGAGGAGCCGGCCAATAGACGGACAGGTGTGGCCCAGCCCTCCGCGTCAGCGACCCGCTTAGAAAAGCGCTACGTCAAACGAGAGTCCTAAAGAGCAGGCGAAAGCCACGGCGTCTGCGTTTGCAATGCATGCTGGTCCGTGTAGTTCTCAGCCTGACACCGTCGTTCCCAGAACCCAGCGCGCTCTGTGAGTTGGCATTTTTAAACTGAGCTCGGAATCCAGCCCGGGGAAGTCCTTAAAGGGCGACAGCCCCTCCTTGTTGGAGTCGTGAGTGCTTCTTTTAGACATTCCCCAAACTGACTCGCCGGCCTCTGCGGGACGCTATAGCTCTTTAAGGAAAGGTGGAGCGGACCAAGGAGCAGGAGTGGGCAGAGCGTCAGCCCCCAGGGCAGCAGAGACTGCCGTTGGAGAGCTCTCCAGGGTTTTTGGAGGAGGGAGGGTGCTCGCCTCGCCCAGCCCACTCCTCCTGGGGGCTCTTCCTAACCACAGGAGGCTTTTTTTCTTGGATGTCTCTTCCCAGTCCCAGAAGAGCCCCCAGAGCCTCCCAAGAGGTAGCTTTCTAACAAAAGATTCATAGCACAGTCCTCACCTTAGGGTAGAGGGAGGGCTTCTGGTCAGAAATTAGGGGATGGGCCATGCCAAAGTGCAAAGGGTCAGCAATCGCATCCTCTGATTAACCCCCATTCAGTCCCGCCCTCCAAAGCTCTTCACTGACTCAGGCCTACTTAGGGAAGAGATTCGAAGGTGGAGACCAATGAGCAGGCTGCTCCTTCCCCAGGGGCCAATCAGAGTCTAGATGAGCGGGGGATGGGCAAAAAGTGAAATGAACCCAGTGACTTGGCAAAAGCTGCTGGTCGGCGTTTTTAAAGGGGCAAGCCGGAGACCTGCCCTACCTTATCAATCCCCGCAAGTCCCCCAAAGAGGAACATGTGGACTGAAATCCATGCCTTTTCCTTCAGCTCCAAATAGGGGCTGAGGGTAACTAAGCAGGAATGATGAGGCTGGAGGGTGAGATCCTTCCTTCTGTTAAATACGCACTCCATCAGGTAATTGATAAGGTTCACTTGGAGCTCCAAAATTCTGAGCCTGCGTTCAGGACATTGCGCCTTTAAGGAAACTTCCTGCCTTGCGCCCCAGTAACAGCTGATTGTTGGAAAGTGTGACCTCTGGGGACGAATCAGCTGTTACCACATCCTCCTCCTTGCTTACCCTCCTCCATCCCCTTATCCACTCCCATGGGTGGTGAAGGAAAGAACGTGGGGGATGTGATTGTATGATCTTTCTTTTCCCCCATCACTCCAAGACTGTCTCCCCCAACCCCAACCCCGCTCTGCTCCTTAGTTCTTCAGAGGCTCTGGGCTTGGAAAGAGAGGTATTTCCTGTTAGCACAGTAAATTCAGACTCTGTGGTCTAGACCCTCCCTGGTCTAGGGGAAGGCCAGTACTGGGGAGGTCCAGAATGGTGGCTGGCGCTGGGGAGGGTACAGTGAACCCGAGGACCAAGCCTGGGGAGGAGGAATGGCTATGGGAAGCAAACTTGGGGTTCAGAACGCTGCTTCTCAGGCCAGCCGCCCCCTACTTCCTACTCAAGTTGCCCTATTCCTCCATGGACAGGTGTCTGCTGATGGGATCCTCCTGCTTTTGCCCATTTACTCCACCTCCTTATTTATTTTTTTTTTTTCTGTTTTTGAGACAGAGTCTCGCTCTGTTGCCCAGGCTGGAGTGCAGTGGCGCGATCTCGGCTCACTGCAACCTCCACCTCCCGGGTTCAAGCGATTCTCCTCCTTCAGCCTCCTGAGTAGCTGGGATTACAGGCGTGCGCTACCACTCCCAGCTAATTTTTGTATTTTTAGTAGAGATGGTGTTTTGCCATGTGGGCCAGGCTGGTCTCGAACTCCTCACCTCAGGTGATCCACCCGCCTCGGTCTCCCAAAGTGCTAGGATTATAGGCGTGTGAGCCACCGCGCCCGGCCGCATTCACTCCACTTCTAACTGTTCTCAGCTGCCACCTGGTCCCTGGGCCGCTCCATTTTTGGCTTTTGGCGGTGCCCTGCCCACATGGCCACCCCCCATAGCAAGGGTCCTAATTGCTCAAGGACTGCAGGTGGGACACGTTGGCCCCAGAAGCCAGCGTCTTTGGCTGGGAAGTGCTGGGAAGACCCAGGTAAATATTTTGCCTCGATCCTGAGTTGGGAGTCAGGGTCACTCCAGGACAAGCTTAGTGTGAAGTCCTAGGACTGACTTGGCAAGGCGTGGAGAAATTGAGCAGGGCCCTGGCCAAGCATGGAAGGAAGTGAAGCCTCACCAGTGGCCCCTATTCTCCATTATCCTGAGCATAGAAATCCCATCCCTTTCCCACTCACGGCCCTTGGGGTGACCCTTTTCCATTTTGTTCTGAACACTGACCCCACCCCCTAGGTCAAAAGCACAGGCTTCGAGTCCAGGGTTTCGCCACCTCAGCACCCACTGGCATTTTAAGTAGAATAATTTCTTGTGGGAGGGCTACCGGGTGCACAATAGGACATCCACGTGGTCCCTGGCCTCTGTCCTAGATGTCAGTGGCAACACCCACCCACCCCCAGCTCCCAGTTTTGACAACCAAAAGTATCTCCAGACGTTACCAAATGTCTCCTAGGGGCCAAAATCTCCTCCAACTGAGAACTACTGTGTTAGGCACACTTAGATTCAAATTCCAGCTCTTACTAGCTGTGAACTTGTTACCGATAATTTCCCCTCATCTACAACATACGGTGAATAAGGAATTCAAGCCTTGTTGTAGGGATTTCAACATTTAAAAATATTTTAAAAGTTAAAAATGTGCCCGGGCGCGGTGGCTCATGCCTGTAATCCCAGCACTTTGGGAGGCTGAGGCAGGCGGATCACGAGGTCAGGAGATGGAGAACATCCTGGCTAACACTGTGAAACCCCGTCTCTAATAAACATACAAACAATTAGCCGGGCGTGGTGGCGGGCGCCTGTAGTGCCCAGCTACTTGGGAGGCTGAGGCAGGAGAGTGGCGTGAACCCAGGAGGCGGAGCTTTGCAGTGAGCCAAGATTGGGCCACTGCACTCCAGCCTGGGTGACAGAGCAAGACTCCGTCTCAAAAAAAGAAAAAAAAAAAAAAATTAAAAATGTGGCCAGGCACAGTGGCTCATACCTGTAATCCCAGCACTTTGGGAGGCCGAAGCAGGTGGATCACTTTGAGCCCAAGAGTTCAAGACCAGCCTGGGCAACGTGGCAAGACCCTCTTTAAAAAAAAAAAAAATTAAAAAATGGCCTGGCGAGGTGGCTCACACCTGTAATTGTAGCACTTTGGGAGGCTGAGGCAGGCAGATTGCTTGAGCTCAGGAGTTCGAGACCAGCCTGGGCAACATGATGAAACTCTAGCTCTACCCAAAATACAAAACATTAGCCAGGTGTGGTGGTATCTGTGGTCCCAGCTACTCAGGAGGCCGAGGCAGAGGTTGCAGTGAGCCAAGATGGCGCCACTGCACTCCAGCCTAGGTGACAGAATGTGACTCCATCTCAGAAAAAAACGAAAAACAAATTTAATTAGAAAACACCTAGCATAGATTTAATTAGAAAACACCTAGCGTAGATTTAATTAGAAAACACCTAGCGTAGATTTAATTAGAAAACACCTAGCATAGTACCTGCCACACTGGTCCGCAGCTGGTGCACTACTTTTCTCCCTGCCGGATTAGCAAGAGCTGACCCCGCTCAACATGGGCTGACTGGTGGGGCAGCTGCAGCCTCTGTCCCTGACTATCCAAGACATGACCTCCCGGAAACCCAATACTGAGGCTGGCCAAGGGGAGCGGCTAATTTGGTCTGAGATTCCCCAGAGCCCAAAGGTGCTTGCATTGGGATTCAGGGAACACGCTTACTGGGGGCAGTGAGAGGGAAATTCCGGAAGAGAGCTGTTACAGACGTTACTTCTCAAGACATAGCCTGAAGGTTGCTGCATCAGAATTACCTCGCGTACTTGTTAAACATTTAGATAGCTGTATCTCACTCCAGACTCCTGAATTAGAATTATGCCCTAAAGGGCCGGGCATGGTGGCTCACGCCTGTAATTCCAGCACTTTGGGAGGCGGAGGCGGGCGGATCATCTGAGGTCAGGAATTTGAGACCAGCCTGGCCAACATGGTGAAACCCCATCTCTACTAAAAATACAAAAGTTAGCCAGGCGCCTGTAATCCCAGGTACTCGGGAGGCTGAGGCAGGAGAATTGCTTGAACCTGGGCGGTGAAGGTTGCAGTGAGCCGAGATCGTGCCACAGCACTCCAGCCTGGGCGACAGAGTCAGACTCCGTATCAAGAAAAAAAAAAAAAAAAGAATTATGCCCTAAAATTTGAAAACTACTGCCCTAGGGCTCAGATTGGGCCAGGGTTTGAGGCCCCAGGAATCCCAGTGCGCCAGTTCCCAATATTGCTAGGACATCTCTATTCTCGGGAGGAAAGGAGAATTTCAAGAGGTAAAATTAGGTACACTCAAGGTCACTGCTGCAGTGTAACCCCAGTACCGCTAGAGGGCAGGGCACACACAGACTTGCAGACAGAAAAAGTAGTACCTGCTCAATCTAGGTAAACTGAGACCAGCGCAAAGAACAGGTGGACCCAGCCAGCTCTATTGGTACTAAGAAGCAAGCACTACCTTCTAACCATCAAAACATATCCTCTGATTTCAGGTATTTATATCAAAGTTGGGGCTGGGCACTGTGGCTCACGACTGTAATCCCAGCTCTACTAAAAATATAAAATTTAGCTAGGCGTGGTAGCAGGCACCTATAATCCCAGCTACTCGGGATGCTGAGGCAGGAGAATCACTTGAACCCGGGAGGCGGAGGTTGTGGTGAGTCAAGATGGTGCCATTGCACTCCAGCCTGGGCAACAAGAGCGAAACTTTGTCTCGAAAAAAAAAATTAGCTGGGCTTGGTGACGCTGCCTGTAGTCTCAACTACTCGGGAGGCTGAGGTGGGAGGATCACCTGAGCCTGGGGAGGTCGAGGCTGCAGTCAGCTGTGACAAATCACTGCACTGCAGCCTGGGTGACAGAGTGAGACCCTGTGTCAAAAAAAATAAATAAAAAATCACTCGGGCACCATGGCTCACACCTGTAATCCCAGCATTTTGAGAGGCCGAGATGGGCCGATTGCTTGAGCCCAGGAGTTCAAGACCAGCCTGGGAAACATGGCAAAACCTGGTTACTACAAAAATACAAAAAATTAGCTGGATGTGGTGGCACATTCCTGTAGTCCCAGCTACTCAGGAGGCTGAGGTGGGAAGTTCACCTGAGCCTGGAAGGTCGAGGCTGCAGGGAGCCAAGATCACACTACTGCATTCTAGCCTGGGCAACAGAGTGAGACTCTGTCTTAAAAAAAAAAAAAAAAATCAGGCCGGGCACGGTGGCTCACACCTGTAATCCCAGCACTTTGGAAGGCCAAGGCAGGCAGATCACCTGAGGTCGGGAGTTTGAGACCAGCCTGACCAACATGGAGAAACCCTGTCTCTACTAAAATACAAAAATTAGCCGGGCATGGTGGCACATGACTGTAATCCCAGCTACTAGGGAGGCTGAGGCAGGAGAATCGCTTGAACCCGGGAGGCGGAGATTGCGGTGAGCTGAGATCGCGCCATTGCACTCCAGCCTGGGCAACAAGAGCGAAACTCTGTCTTAAAAAAAAAAATCTTCTTAAAAGGGGTGGTGAGGATTACACAAAACAGGGTATGCAAAATGCTTAACAGATGACTAGCTCCTGGTAATGCTCCATACAAGTTTGTTGTAAGTTACTACTGCCCAGGATCATATGACCAAGCACATGAGAGGCTCCAGCTACCCTTCAAGGAAGAGGAGACAGATGAAATCAGATCATGGCTGAGACATTCCTGTTTTCTCTCTCTTTTTTTTTTTTTTTTTGAGATGGAGTCTCACTCTGTTGCCCAGGCTGGAGTGCAGTGGCGCTATCTTGGCTCACTGCAACCTCTGCCTCCTGGGTTCAAGCGATTCTCCTGCCTCAGCCTCCCAAGTAGCTGGAATTAGAGGCGTCCGCCACCACACCTGGCTAATTTTTGTATTTTAGTAGAGATGGGGTTTCTCCATGTTGGTCAGGCTGGTCTTGAACTCCTGACCTCAGGTGATCTGCCCATCTCAGCCTCCCAAAGTGCTGGGTTACAGGCATGAGCCACCGCACCCGGCCCTCCTATTTTCTCTCCTATCAGGCCTAGTTTTCTTTTCTTTTCTTTCTTTCTTTTTTTTTTTTTTTGAGACGGAGTCTCACTCTGCCACCCAGGCTGGAGTGCAGTGGTGTGATCTCAGCTCACTGCAACCTCCGCCTCCCAGGTTCAAGCGATTCTCCTGCCTCAGCCTCCTGAGTAGCTGGGATTACAGGCACCCGCTGCCACACCCGGCTAATTTTTTTGTGTTTTTAGTAGAGATGGAGTTTCCCCAAGTTGGCCGGGCTGGTCTTGAACTCCTGACCTCATGATCCGCCCACCTTGGCCTCCCAAAGTGCTGGGATTACAGGTGTGAACCACCGTGACCGGCCAAGGCCTAGTTTTCCTAAGTGTCTTTATGGGACCCTCACACCTGTACACCAAACTCCTTCAAGAGGCAAACTCTCTCCTAAGAGGGAGACAAAAGAAACAGGGCCAGTGGTTTCACTGTAGACAATGGTCTATCTGTCCTGCAGATGAGTCAGAACTAAGACCCCTTGAGGAATCATGTTGCTTTGGTGCCGGCTGTCTGGTTTCTATTCCATATCCTGTGCCGCACCCTTCCCCCAGCCACAGTGACATCTGGAGGCTCTGACCACAGCTGGCAGGCTCTGTGGTACCGCAGAGGCCAATCTTCAACAGGAAGTCTTGGGGGAACATTTCTTCCCCCAAAACACCAGGCCTCTGGGCCTGGGCCACTTCTCTCCCTCAGACAGCCCAGGGTTTCGTTTTATTTTTATTTTATTTTATTTATTTATTTTTATTTATTTATTTGGTTTTATTTTTATTTATTTATTTTTATTTATTTATTTATTTATTTATTTATTTATTTATTTATTCTTTTTGACGGAGTCTCGCTCTGTTGCCCAGGTTGGAGTACAGTGGCGCCATCTCGGCTCACTGCAAGCTCTGCCTCCTGGGTTCATGCCATTCTCCTGCCTCAGCTTCCCAAGTAGCTGGGACTACAGGCGCCCCCCACCACGGCCAGGTAATTTTTTGTGTTTTTAGTAGAGACGGGGTTTCACCGTGTTAGCCAGGATGGTCTCGATCTCCTGACCTCGTGATCCAGCTGCCTCAGCCTCCCAAAGTGCTGGGATTACAGGCGTGAGCCACTGCACCCGGCCAGTTTTGTTTTTTAAAAAGCCGTGAGAGGGCTGTCAGGAGGCAGTGCTCCTGGGCAGAAAGAAGGCTGGCACCAGTTTCTAAGTCTCCATTCCGCCAGGCGGACAAGCCTCTCTGGCGGTTGTTGGTTATCACTTGTAAAATATAAACAGTAATAACTGTCCTCCCTACCTCACAGAGTGTGTTGCGAGGGCCAAATGGAATGTGACTGTTGAAGTACTTAGGAAAGTTAAAAAGCTCCTTCCTATGGAAGGTGGCATGGAGGCGCCGGGGGGATTCCATGTCAAAAGTCCCAGTTCTGGCCGGGCGCGGTGGCTCACGCCTGTCATCCCAGCACCTTGGGAGGCCGAGACGGGTGGATCACGAGGCCAGGAGTTCGAGATCAGCCTGGCCAACAAGGCGAAACCCCATCTCTACTAAAAAATACAAAAATTAGCCGGGCGTGGTGGCGCGCTCCTGACGTCCCAGCTACTCGGGAGGCCGAGGCAAGAGAATCGCTTGAACCCGGGAGGCAGAGGTTGCGGTGAGCCGAGATCGCGCCACTGCACTCCAGCCTGGGCGACAGAGCAAGACTCCGTCTCAAAAATAGACACAACAGAAGTCCCAGTTCTGCCCCTGGTTGTGCGGTCCGCACTTAACTAAGAGGCTGGCATCTCTGGGAACAGCCTCCGGGACCCGCGCGCTGGTGCGTGCTGGAGGGAGTAGGGAGGGGTGGGGCGGTAGGCATCGCCCTCCGCCGGGCCCGGCTGGAGCTGGCTGGAGACCCTTTCAGCCCCGGGAGGAAGCGGAGCCCAGACCGAGCCAGAGCGGAGCAGCGGGAGGGAGGGCGGGGAGGCCGCCGGGCAGGAAGCGGGGTCCCGCCCGGGCCTCTGGAGCCACGTGCGCTTGTTTCCGTGCTGGGGCGATCACGTGACCCGCGTCAGCTGACCCGTCACGGTGGAGCCCGGTGCTCGCGCCCGGCAGCCTCTGCCCCGCCGCGCCCGGAGCGCAGGACCCGCGGAGGGGTAAGCGCGCCCCCCGTCCGCCTCTTCGCCGCCGCCGGCTTCCTGCGGCCGCCTCCGCCCCAGCCCCTGTCCCGCGCCCATCCCAGCCCCGCCGGCCTGGCACCCCGGAAGCCGTCGCCAGCAGGGCCGTGGCTGGGCTCAGCCCCGCGCTGCCCCCGGGCGGCCTGGAGGAGATGGCCCAGGGCAGCGGGGGGCGGGAAGGCGCTCTCAGAACCCCGGCCGGGGGCTGGCATTCCCCGCCAAGCCCAGACATGCAGGAGCTGCTCCGGAGCGTGGAGAGGGACCTGAGCATCGATCCCAGGCAGCTGGCTCCGGCCCCGGGGGGCACCCACGTGGTGGCCCTAGTGCCTGCGCGCTGGCTGGCCAGCCTCCGCGATCGCCGGCTGCCCCTGGGACCCTGTCCCCGCGCAGAGGGCCTGGGAGAAGCGGAAGTCAGGACTCTCCTGCAGCGCTCTGTGCAAAGGCTGCCTGCCGGCTGGACGCGCGTGGAGGTGCATGGGCTGCGGAAGCGGAGACTGTCCTACCCTCTGGGCGGGGGCCTGCCCTTTGAGGACGGGTCCTGCGGCCCTGAGACCCTCACTCGCTTCATGCAGGAGGTTGCCGCCCAGAATTATCGCAACCTGTGGCGCCATGCATACCACACTTACGGCCAGCCGTACAGTCACAGCCCTGCCCCCTCAGCTGTCCCTGCCTTGGACTCAGTACGGCAGGCTCTGCAGAGGGTCTATGGTTGCTCCTTCCTGCCAGTGGGTGAAACTACCCAATGCCCTTCATATGCCAGAGAAGGCCCCTGCCCCCCTCGGGGCAGCCCTGCTTGCCCTAGTCTTTTACGGGCTGAGGCCTTGCTGGAGTCGCCGGAGATGCTGTATGTGGTACACCCTTACGTACAGTTCTCCCTACATGACGTGGTCACCTTCAGCCCTGCCAAGCTGACCAACAGCCAGGCCAAGGTGCTGTTCATTCTCTTCCGCGTGCTGAGGGCTATGGACGCCTGTCACCGCCAGGGGCTGGCGTGTGGGGCCCTGTCTTTGTATCACATCGCAGTGGATGAGAAGCTTTGCAGCGAGCTGCGACTGGACCTGAGTGCTTATGAGAGGCCCGAGGAGGACGAGAATGAGGAGGCCCCTGTGGCAAGGGATGAGGCGGGCATTGTGTCTCAAGAGGAGCAGGGAGGGCAACCTGGGCAACCCACTGGCCAGGAGGAACTTCGGAGCCTCGTGCTAGATTGGGTCCACGGCCGCATCAGCAACTTCCACTACCTCATGCAGCTGAATCGGTTGGCAGGTCGGCGGCAGGGGGACCCCAACTACCACCCCGTGCTGCCCTGGGTGGTGGACTTCACTACGCCCCATGGGCGCTTCCGAGACCTGCGCAAGTCCAAGTTCCGCCTCAACAAGGGGGATAAGCAACTGGACTTCACGTATGAGATGACACGGCAGGCATTCGTAGCAGGCGGGGCGGGCGGCGGGGAACCCCCTCATGTTCCCCACCACATCTCAGACGTGCTCTCCGACATCACGTACTATGTGTACAAGGCTCGGCGCACGCCTCGGTCGGTGCTCTGCGGACACGTCCGCGCGCAGTGGGAGCCCCATGAGTATCCGGCCAGCATGGAGCGGATGCAGAACTGGACCCCGGATGAGTGCATTCCGGAGTTCTACACCGATCCCTCTATCTTCCGCTCCATCCACCCCGACATGCCTGACCTGGATGTGCCAGCCTGGTGCAGCTCCAGCCAGGAGTTCGTAGCTGCCCACCGAGCCCTGCTGGAGAGCCGCGAGGTATCCCGGGACCTGCACCATTGGATCGACCTCACGTTTGGCTATAAACTCCAGGGTAAGGAGGCTGTCAAGGAAAAGAATGTGTGTCTGCACCTGGTGGACGCCCACACTCACCTGGCCAGCTACGGGGTGGTGCAGCTCTTCGATCAGCCACACCCCCAGCGCCTGGCTGGGGCTCCTGCCCTTGCCCCCGAGCCTCCCCTCATCCCCAAGCTGTTGGTCCAGACCATCCAGGAGACCACAGGCCGGGAGGACTTCACGGAAAACCCGGGACAGCTTCCAAATGGAGTGGGCCGGCCAGTTTTAGAGGCCACTCCCTGTGAGGCTAGCTGGACCAGAGACAGGCCGGTGGCAGGAGAAGACGACTTGGAACAGGCCACAGAAGCTCTGGATTCCATTTCCCTTGCTGGGAAAGCAGGTGACCAGCTGGGCTCCTCCAGTCAAGCGTCCCCTGGACTTCTCTCTTTCTCAGTGGCCTCAGCCTCCCGTCCAGGCCGCAGGAATAAAGCTGCTGGGGCAGACCCTGGGGAGGGTGAGGAGGGGAGGATTCTTCTTCCCGAGGGCTTCAATCCCATGCAGGCCCTGGAGGAGCTGGAGAAAACGGGCAACTTCTTGGCCAAAGGCCTAGGGGGCCTGTTGGAGGTGCCTGAGCAGCCCCGGGTCCAGCCGGCTGTGCCACTGCAGTGCCTACTCCACAGGGACATGCAGGCGCTGGGTGTCCTATTGGCAGAGATGGTGTTTGCCACCAGGGTGCGGACGCTGCAGCCCGATGCACCTTTGTGGGTACGCTTCCAGGCTGTCCGAGGGCTCTGCACGCGCCACCCCAAGGAGGTCCCTGTGTCTTTGCAGCCCGTGCTGGACACACTCCTGCAGATGAGTGGCCCCGAAGTCCCCATGGGAGCAGAGAGGGGCAAGCTGGACCAACTGTTTGAGTACAGGCCTGTCTCCCAGGGCCTGCCCCCACCCTGCCCAAGCCAGCTTCTCAGCCCCTTCAGCTCCGTGGTTCCCTTCCCACCCTACTTCCCGGCACTGCACAGATTCATCCTCCTGTACCAGGCAAGGCGTGTGGAGGACGAGGCCCAGGGGCGCGAGCTGGTGTTTGCTCTGTGGCAGCAGCTGGGCGCGGTGCTGAAGGACATCACCCCTGAGGGCCTGGAGATCCTGCTGCCCTTCGTGCTCTCACTCATGTCCGAGGAGCACACAGCTGTGTACACGGCCTGGTATCTGTTTGAGCCTGTTGCCAAGGCACTGGGCCCCAAAAATGCCAATAAGTACCTCCTGAAGCCGCTCATTGGTGCCTACGAGAGCCCCTGCCAGCTACACGGCCGCTTCTACCTGTACACGGACTGCTTTGTGGCCCAGCTGATGGTGCGGCTGGGCCTGCAGGCATTTCTCACTCACCTGCTGCCCCATGTCCTGCAGGTGCTGGCGGGCGCAGAGGCCTCCCAGGAGGAGAGCAAGGACCTGGCAGGGGCTGCTGAGGAGGAGGAGAGCGGGCTGCCCGGGGCCGGGCCTGGCTCCTGTGCTTTTGGGGAGGAGATTCCCATGGATGGGGAGCCTCCTGCCTCCTCGGGCCTGGGGCTCCCAGACTACACGTCTGGCGTCAGCTTCCACGACCAGGCTGACCTCCCTGAGACAGAGGACTTCCAAGCCGGGCTCTATGTGACTGAGTCTCCCCAGCCCCAGGAGGCTGAGGCTGTGAGCCTGGGCCGGCTGAGTGACAAGAGCAGCACCAGCGAGACCTCCCTGGGTGAGGAGCGGGCTCCAGACGAGGGGGGTGCCCCCGTGGACAAGAGCAGCCTTCGATCAGGTGACAGCAGCCAGGACTTGAAGCAAAGCGAGGGCTCCGAGGAGGAAGAGGAGGAGGAGGACAGCTGCGTGGTGCTAGAGGAGGAGGAGGGGGAGCAGGAGGAGGTCACCGGGGCATCTGAGCTCACTCTGTCTGACACGGTGCTGTCCATGGAGACGGTTGTGGCCGGCGGCAGTGGGGGAGATGGAGAAGAAGAGGAGGAGGCACTGCCTGAGCAGTCAGAAGGCAAAGAACAGAAGATCCTCCTTGGTAAGTTCCCAGGTCTGGGAGGTGTTGGTCAAAAACACCTCCTGCTGGCCGAGCACAGTGGTTCACGCCTGTATTCCCAGCACTTTGGGAGGCTGAGGCGGGCGGATCACAAGGTCAGGAGATCGAGACCATCCTAATAACAAGGTGAAACCCCGTCTCTACTAAAAATACAAAAAAATAGCCGGGCGTGGGGGCAGGCACCTGTAGTCCCAGCTACTCGGAAGGCTGAGGCAGGAGAATGGCGTGAACCCGGGAGGCGGAGCTTGCAGTGAGCCGAGATCGCACCACTGCACTCCAGCCTGGGCGACAGAGCGAGACTCCATCTCAAAAAAACAAAACAAAACAAAAAAACAGCTCCTGCTTCTCCCTGCACACTGGCAGAGCACCTACTCTGTGCCAAGCAGTGGATCGAGCCAGGACCACCGGCAACACAAATGTAGGCCTGCCTTCACAGAGCTCACACCCAGCAGACGAGATGCCGCAGTGCAGACAGTCTTAAGCAAGTGTATTATGTTAGTGCGATAAAGAACATGGCTGCATTCCTAGGAGGGAGTGCAACATGGAGCTTTTCGGCCGGGCGCCGTGGCTCACGCCTCTAATCCCAGCACTTTGGGAGGCCGAGGCAGGAGGATCACTTGAGGTTAGGAGTTCGAGACCAGCCTGGCCAACATGGTGAAACCCCATCTCTACTAAAAATACAAAAATTAGCCAGGCGTGGTGGCGGGCACCTGTAATCCCAGCTATTCAGGAGGCTGAGGCAGGAGAATTACTTGAACCCAGGAGGTGGAGGTTGCAGTGAGCTGAGATCACACCACTGCACTGCAGCTTGGGCAACAGAGCGGGACTCCGTCTCAAAAAAGAAAAAAAAAATGGTGCTTTTACATCTAGTTTTCAAGGGTCAGAGCAGGCTTCCTTAAAAGGAGAGACAGTTGAGGTTCAAGGAGGAGTAGGAAGAAGGTAGACAAAAATGGGCAAAAAGAAAGTCTGAAGGCTGAGGGAACAGCATGTGTGAGGCTCTGAGGCTGTCATGTTCCATTAAAGAAGAGAAGCGGGGGACCGGGCGCGGTGCTTCACGCCTGTAATCCCAGCACTTTGGGAGGCTGAGGCGGATGGATCACAAGGTCAGGAGATTGAGACCATCCTGGCCAATATGGTGAAACCCCATCTCTACTAAAAATACAAAAACTTAGCTGGGCATGGTGGAGGGTGCCTGTAATCTCAGCTATTTGGAAGGCTGAGGCAGGAGAATCGCTTGAACCCGGAGGTTCAAGGAGGAGAGTCAGGGCGGTGGAAGGTGGAGGTTGCAATGAACTGAGATTGTGCCATTGCACTCCAGCCTGGGCAACAGTGCGAGACTCTGTCTCAAAAAAAAAAAAAAAGAAGAAGAAGAAGAAGAGAAGCAGGGAAAGGCCGTTATGGCGAGACCGAGGGAGTGGAGGGAAGAGAGGCCAGAGGGAAGGTGGCCAGGGCCGGGCCAGGCCTTGTTAAGGAGTTTCAGAAGACCCACGGGCAGGCTAACTTCCTGCGGGTCGTGCCTGTGGAGAGGAACCTGCGGCAGCCAGAGTCCCACAGGCCAGGGCCTGGGCACCTCTGCCGCTGTTACGTGGAGGGGGTGGTGTGGGACAGCCGGCCCGGGCTGGGCTCTTGGCAGAGCTGCAGCCGCAGGTGGTTGAGTGGGGTGCCGTGGGGTGGGGTGGGAGGGGTGATGAGCCCCTGTTATCTGAGGAGCTCAGGGCCTGCTCCCACCCCGCAGATACAGCCTGCAAGATGGTCCGCTGGCTGTCTGCCAAGCTCGGCCCCACAGTGGCCTCTCGCCACGTGGCCCGGAACCTGCTCCGCCTGCTGACGTCTTGTTATGTTGGTAAGGAGGCCTGCGGTCAGTGCTGGAGATGAGGCTTTCTCCCAGGCCCTCTGCCTAGCTTCAGCGCTCTCCGGCGGGGATCCTTCCCACCCCTCCCTCAAACCACCCCCCGGCCAGGTGCTGGGTCCCAGTCTAAGTGCCAGCCTTGGGTAGGGCCAGGCTGGGCCCCCAGCTAGAGTGAGCTCAAGCGGCCAGCACAGCCCTGCAGGGCCAGGCTACCCCCGGCCCTCCACTGGCGACTCAGGGCTGCTGGCCCTTCCGTGGCAGGACCCACTCGGCAGCAGTTCACAGTGAGCAGTGGCGAGAGCCCACCGCTGAGCGCCGGCAACATCTACCAGAAGAGGCCGGTCCTGGGCGACATCGTGTCAGGGCCTGTGCTCAGCTGCCTCCTCCACATCGCCCGCCTGTATGGGGAGCCTGTCCTCACCTACCAGTACCTGCCCTACATCAGCTACCTGGTCAGTCGCTGGTTTGGCAGGCCCGGGGCTGGGAAGGCTGAGGACCTGAGGGCCGGCCCGGGCTCTCTTGGTGCCAGGGGGTCTGTGGGGCTGCCCGGCCCTCATCTGCTCGGTGGCTCTAGGTGGCCCCAGGGAGTGCCTCAGGCCCCAGCCGACTGAACAGCCGTAAGGAGGCGGGGCTGCTGGCCGCGGTGACGCTGACTCAGAAGATCATCGTGTACCTCTCAGACACCACACTCATGGACATCCTGCCCCGGATCAGCCATGAGGTCCTGCTGCCCGTGCTCAGCTTCCTCACCTCCCTCGTCACGGGGTAGGCCTCTGCCCCAGCTGATGTAGGGGGACCGGCCCAGCGGAGGGGCTGCCCAGGAGGGGGTGGGAAGCTCAGGGGAGAGGACGTAACACTGGACTGGGTGTCAAGAGTCCTGGTTTTGATCCCGGCTGTGTGACCCTGAGCAAACCACACCCTTTTCCTGTGCCTCAGTTTCCTCATCTGGTTTGGACCAGTTGGTCTTGGAGCTCTTTCATTTAAAGCTTTTGATATGTCCGGGCACGGTGGCTCATGCCTGTAATCCCAGCACTTTGAGAGGCTGAGGCGGGAAGATTGCTTGAGCCCAGGAGTTCAAGACCAGCCTGGGCAACAAAATGAGACCCCCTCTCTAAAAATATATATAAAGGCCGAGCGTGGTGTCTCACCCCTGTAATCCCAGCACTTTGGGGGGCCAAGGCGGGTGGATCACGAGGTCAGGAGTTTGAGACCCACCTGGCCAACATGGTGAAACCCCGTCTCCACTAAAAATACAAAATCTTCGCTGGGCATGGCAGCAGGTGCCTGCAATCCCAGGTTCTCGGGAGGCTGCAATCCCAGGTTCTCAGGAGGCTGAGGCGGGAGAATTGCTTGAACCCAGGAAGCGGAGGTTGCAGTGAGCTGAGATCACGCCATTGTACTGCAGCCTAGGCGACAGAGCAAGACTCTGTCTCAAAAAAAAAAAAAAGTATATATATATGCTGGGTGCTGTGGCTCATGCCTGTAATCCCAGCACTTTGGGAGGCCAAGGTGGGTGGATCGCTTGAGGTCAGGAGTTCGAGACCAGCCTGGCCAATATGGCAAAACCCTGTCTCTACTAAAAATACAAAAAAAATTAGCCGGGTATGGTGGCTCATGCCTGTAGTCCCAGCTACTCGGGAGACTGAGGCAGGAGAATCGCTTGAACCCGGGAGGCAGAGGTTGCAGTGAGCCGAGATCGCACCACTGCACTCCAGCCTGGATGACAGAGCAAGACTCCATCTCAATAAAAATAAAAATAAATAAAGATTTTGCTAGATTCTGGTCAAGTCCTGCAGAACGGCGGGCTGGAGCTCATGAGCTCTGTTTCCAGGTTCCCAAGTGGGGCCCAGGCTCGGACCATCCTGTGTGTGAAAACCATCAGCCTCATCGCCCTCATCTGCCTGCGCATTGGACAGGAGATGGTCCAGCAGCACCTGAGCGAGCCCGTGGCCACCTTTTTCCAGGTCTTCTCTCAGCTGCATGAGCTTCGGCAACAGGTGGGCAGATCTGCTGGGCCAGGGCGGGCTGGGGCGGGGGCTGTGGACCTGGGTGACCCCCTGGGCATCTTGCTCATAGGATCTGAAGCTGGACTCCGCGGGCCGTGGCGAGGACCAGGGTGGGCCAGGGTGGGAGCTGTGGACCCGGCTGACCCCCTGGGTGTCTTGCTCATAGGATCTGAAGCTGGACCCTGCGGGCCGTGGTGAGGGCCAGCTGCCACAGGTGGTCTTCTCTGATGGGCAGCAGCGGCCCGTGGACCCCGCCCTGCTGGACGAGCTGCAGAAGGTGTTCACCCTGGAGATGGCATACACAATCTACGTGCCCTTCTCCTGCCTGTTGGGTACTGCCCCATCACGTTCCCCATCACAGTCTTCGTGGCTGTCTCCTCCCTTGGGAGGCCCCATTCTCTGCCCTTGCCCCAGAGTCAGCAGTGGGTTCTAAGAGCCAGCAGGATGGGTGAGAGCAAAGGGATTTGGCCTCAGACCCCTACCCCCAAGGTGACACACAAACAAGGACTGAGCAGTAGCCAGCAAGAGAGGCCCAGAAGCTGGCCTGTAGTGTCCCTGGGGAAGGCAGGAGAGTCAGGGAGGTGGACTGGCGGTCCGCAGGAGCTGGCGAGAGGGAAGGAGTGGCCTCCTGTTTACGAAGCTTCCCCTCTGGGCCCTGCACGGTGCTGTGCTGATCGTTTCAGCGTGTCATCTCCCTGGAGAGGACAGACAGCCTTGTGGTTACACCTGTTATCATCCTGCCACTGAAATCTAAGCTTGGGAGGCCAGGGCACCACCTGTCTTGTTCCATATTCTATTCCTAGTGCCCAGCACGGCACGGCACATATAGAAGATGCTCATGTGTACATCACAACGGAATGAATCCACATTTCACTGAGGAGGAAACTGAGGCTCAGAGACAGAGTTACTTGCCCAGAGTTGCAGAGCCAGTTCCTGCCCCATCTTCTGTGGCTCCCGAGTCCTTGGATGGGTGATAGCAGCCGCCTGCCATCTTCCCTGTCTCAGGACCTCTCCCACTCCTATCCAGGTGACATCATCCGGAAAATCATCCCCAACCACGAGCTGGTTGGGGAGCTGGCGGCGCTGTACTTGGAGAGCATCAGCCCCAGCAGTCGCAACCCTGCCAGCGTGGAGCCCACCATGCCCGGCACCGGGCCCGAGTGGGACCCCCATGGTGGGGGCTGCCCTCAGGATGACGGCCACTCAGGGACCTTTGGGAGCGTCCTGGTGGGGAACCGCATTCAGATCCCCAATGACTCTCGGCCTGAGAACCCCGGACCACTGGGCCCCATCTCGGGGGTGGGTGGCGGGGGCCTGGGCAGCGGGAGCGACGACAACGCCCTGAAGCAGGAGCTGCCGCGGAGCGTGCACGGGCTGAGCGGAAACTGGCTGGCGTACTGGCAGTACGAGATCGGCGTGAGCCAGCAGGATGCCCACTTTCACTTCCACCAGATCCGCCTGCAGAGCTTCCCGGGCCACTCGGGGGCCGTCAAGTGCGTGGCACCCCTAAGCAGCGAGGACTTCTTCCTGAGCGGCAGCAAGGATCGTACCGTGCGCCTCTGGCCGCTGTACAACTACGGCGACGGGACCAGCGAGACGGCCCCACGCCTCGTCTACACCCAGCACCGCAAGAGCGTCTTCTTCGTGGGCCAGCTTGAGGCCCCGCAGCACGTGGTGAGCTGTGACGGGGCTGTGCACGTCTGGGACCCCTTCACAGGTGAGCGGGCCCAGGTGAGGCCTGTTCTCTTCCTGCTCCTGCGCCCCACCAGGCCTCCAGGAAGGGGGCCCGAGGGTGGGGCTGTAATGCTGCGGAGTTTGGGGAGACCCAGCGAGGCCGCCTAGGAGAACAGTTAGGGCTTCGAATCTGTTAGACTTGAGTCTGAATTGGCTCCACCGGCTTACTTGCTGAGTGACCTTGAGCAAGTTCCTGCTGCTGGAAGCGTCTCCTTTCCCATCTATAAACTGAGAATCAGAAAAACTGGCGTAGAAGATAACACACAGCCGGGCGCAGTGGCTCACGCCTGTAATCCCAGCACTTTGGGAGGCTGAGGCGGGTGGATCACGAGGTCAGGAGATCGAGATCATCCTGGCTAACATGGTGAAACCCCGTCTCTACTAAAAATACAAAAATTAGCCGGGCGTGGTGGCGGGTGCCTGTACTCCCAACTACACAGGAGGCTGAGGCAGGAGAATCTCTCAAACTCAGGTGGCAGAGGTTGCCGTGAGCCGAGATCGCACCACTGCACTCCAGCCCGGGCAACAGAGCGAGACTCTGTCTCAAAAAAAAAAAAAAGAAGAAGATAACACATGTAGGGTTTTGGCTTCATGTGTAGCAGATATTTGGTCAATGGTTGCTTATTTTTTGGCGTCACCATAGGGAGAAATATGGTTAAAAGGGGGAAAGGGATGGTGTCGGGGAAGACAGAGGGAGGTGGCATTGGGTCAGCAGCACTGTGCAGAGAGAGGAGGTTGCTTTGGGGATGGGAGCCTGGCCGGGCCATGGAAGCAGGAAGGTGGGAGAGTCAAGAAACATCTTTAGGCCGATGCAGTGGCTCACGCCTGTAATCTCAGCACTCTGGGAGGCCAGGAGTTGGAGACCAGACTGGCTGACATGGTGAAACCCCATCTCTACTAAGAATACAAAAAAAGGCCGGACGCGGTGGCTCACGCCTGTAATCCCAGCACTTTGGGAGGCCAAAGTGGGTGGATCATGAGGTCAGGAGATCGAGACCATCCAGGCTAACATGGTAAAACCCCGTCTCTACCAAAAATACAAAAAATTAGCCAGGCGTGGTGGCGGACGCCTGTAGTCCCAGCTATTCGGGAGGCTGAGGCAAGAGAATTGCTTGAACCTGGGAGGTGGAGGTTGCAGTGAGCCGAGATTGCACCACTGCACTCCAGCCTGGGCGACAAAGCGAGACTCCATCTCAAAAAAAGAGAAACATCTTTAGCATTTTCTAAGGATCCCTGGGGGACGGGAGGCAGGTGTGCGGTGAGTTGGGGGATTAGAAGCTCCCAGGGCTCTTCCGTCAGCTGCTGGGACCCCAGATCCACTGTGACTTTCCTTCCCAGGGAAGACCCTTCGCACAGTGGAGCCGCTGGACAGCCGGGTGCCCCTGACTGCGGTGGCTGTCATGCCCGCCCCCCACACCAGCATCACCATGGCCAGCTCTGACTCTACCCTGCGCTTTGTGGACTGCAGGAAGCCTGGTCTGCAGGTCAGGGGGGTCCAGTTCCCTGAGCACTCGCCTGGTTCTCTGGGGACCTGGCAAGGAGGAGAGACTCCCCAAAAACAGAAAGCCAGGATGTTGTTCTGGGGCCCTAGTTAGTTTCTCTTTGGTGCTAGATCACCCACAGCCACACATCCTGCGGGGCAGGACTCTGGCCTGTGATGGGGGTGGGGTTCTGGGCTTTTCATGCCCCCTGATGAGGGTCAGAGGCTCAGGCCTTCCTGCTGTGTGGGCTTGGGTGGTGGGCAGGGCCTTGGGGAGTGTGAGATGGGAAGGTGGTGCCTCAGCTCAGCCGCCCTCTCCCTGCAGCACGAGTTCCGACTGGGCGGTGGGCTGAACCCTGGGCTTGTCCGTGCCCTGGCCATCAGCCCCAGTGGCCGTAGTGTCGTGGCCGGCTTCTCCTCAGGCTTCATGGTGCTCCTGGACACCCGCACAGGCCTGGTTCTGCGAGGCTGGCCAGCCCACGAGGGGGACATTCTGCAGATCAAGGTGACGGGCCGGGTCTCCCTCCCCTTGCTGCCCAACCCCCGCCCCTGTCCAGCCATCACCCCTGCTTAGGGTCTGCCTGCCCGGGTTCAGGCTCGAACTGGTCTGTCTTATATACCTGGTCCAGGACTAACTGGGCAGGGAGGGTAGCCCTCTCGGTCCACCTTGGGAGCCAGTTGCACTGCAGGGGTCTCAGCAGGAGGCAGGCCATGGGGGCGGGAGCCACGGGGCAGTGGGGCGGGAGCTATGGGGCAGGGCTGACCCTGTTGCTCATGGCGATGTTCTAATGAGTAACCCTTGTCCATATTTGTCTTGCTTGGAGGATCAGGGGTCAGGCCCTGTCCGTGACCTAGTTCAGGTTAAATAAAGCTGAGCTGGGAGGCTGTTTACTGCCTGTAGACCGCTGAGCAGAGTCCATGGCCCTGCCGGGCTGCCCTGGCTGGGGGCAGGAGCACGCCTGGGCATGGGGATCCTGTCCCCGTCTCCTTCCCCTCCCCCTCCCTCCATTCTCAGTCACAGGCCTCGGGGAGCTGCTCAGGGAGGCCCAGGAGGGGAGGAACAGGGCTTCGTGTGGGAGGATTTCTGCAGGCAGCTGGGACTTTCCTCCCCAGCTTGGCTGGAGGCCAGGAGTCTTGCATTGCCCTGCTGACAGCAGGCTGTCGCTGGCTCCCTCCAGAGCCCCAGGGAACCCTCAGCTCAAGGTGCCCCCAAATTCTAACTTTCCAAGAAAGTGTCAGGAGGGCTCTGGGGTCAGCCTGGGTGTTAATCCCAGCTCTGCTGCTTGCTGGCCCCATGACCTTGGTATGGTTACTTCACTTCTCTGAGCCTCACTTTTCCTGTTTGTGAAATGGGGACAATGGCAGCATCCACCGCATAGGGTTGTTACGAAGGTCAAGGTCGTCACGTGCACGCCTGGCACCATGCCTGTGCGTAGTTCTCAAGTTAGAGTGACGACTGGGTTACGGATGCTGAGCGTATTAAAATGAACCAACGTGAATATGGTGTGTGTGGGAGGGTGGCGGCTTGTCACCCACCCAGGACGGCCTGTCTCCCTGGAGAGAAACTGCGGAGGGAACTGGGAAGGCCTTGGGGCCCAAGGGTATGCAGAAGGACCCAGGCTCCTGCTGAGGCTCTCCTCTCCCGGGACAGGCGGTGGAGGGCAGCGTCCTGGTCAGCTCCTCCTCTGACCATTCCTTGACCGTCTGGAAGGAGCTGGAGCAGAAGCCCACCCATCACTACAAGTCAGCATCCGACCCCATCCACACCTTTGACCTGTACGGCAGCGAGGTGGTCACTGGCACCGTGTCCAACAAGATTGGCGTCTGCTCCCTGCTTGAGCCACCCTCGCAGGCCACCACGAAGCTCAGCTCTGAGAACTTCCGCGGCACGCTCACCAGCCTGGCCTTGCTGCCCACTAAACGCCACCTCCTGCTGGGCTCAGACAACGGGGTTATCCGCCTCCTGGCATAGACTGAGGCAGGAGCTGGCCGGGCAAGGGTGGGAAGACATCTGCGGGCGCGTGTCCACTCACCCTGTTCCCTGAGCAGCAGCTCCCTCCAGGGAGGCCCTGGGTCCCACGCCCTGGGTGCCCACATGGCCTGCCAACTAGGGCCTGCAAATGGAGTGGGGGAGTCCTGGCCCCTGAATCACCAGAGCCACCAAGCCTGCCAGAGGGGTCTCATTCATGGCTTGGGGACACAGGGCTCCTAGCAAGCAGGAAGTTAAGAGCAGGAGGAAGCGTTGCTACCTTCACTTCTCCCCAGCTCTGCCCTCTGGGTCCACATGAGGACAGGGAAGCTCGGGAAGGGGAAGGGAGACTGGCCCTGCCCAGCCGGTCTCTAGCCCCTCAGCCCCCGCTGGGCACTCTCTGTCCCATCCCTCTAGGACAGGGAAGCTGGCCTGGTCCAGGGCACTGATGGTGCTTGGATTCCAGCCTAAGGAAGGCTGGCCGTGGTCCAGGAGTTAAGGGCTTGGGTCTGGGGTTTAAGTGGCCACCCATCCAGGCCCTGGCCAGTGTGGGACCGGGACGGGAAGGAAGAAGGAGGCTAGGAGCAGGGGGAAAAGGTGCACTTGGCCAGTGGCGCCTGCCAGGAGTGAGTCCATGCGTTGTCTGCCCACCCCTACCACAGTGTTTGTGCCTTCAGCTGAGGGGGCAGCCTCTGGGCCCTGAACCCCTGCTGGGGCTCCACGACCCTGAGAGAAGGGGTGAGAAGAATCATCTCTGCACCTCGGGTCTCTGCCAGAGGAAGACTTAAGCATCCCTGCGACCTCACATTCTAGACAGAGATGAGGTCCAGGGGTTGGCCCCTGCTGCCTTCTCACAATTTGCAATAGATGTAAATAGGACCAATAAATCCTTTGGAAGAGCCATGGGGTGAACTGAGGCTTGTCTTTTTTTTTTTTTTCAATAGAGATGGAGTCTGACTATGTTGCCCAAGCTGGTCTCCAACTCCTGGGCTCAAGCGATCCTCCTGCCTCGGCCTCCCAAAGTGTTGGGATTACAGGCATGAGCCACCACGCCCAGCCTGAGGCTTATCTTGCTGGTGGTGTCAGGGTGGGGAAAGTCGAGACCCAGCAGTTTCCAGGACAGTGAGGGTGGGAAGGGGCCTGATGGAGGGAGTGAGGAGCAGGACAGTGAGGGTAGGAGGCGGCCTGATGCAGGGAGTGAGGCGCAGGACAGTGAGGGTGGGAAGGAGCCTGATGCAGGGAGTGAGGCGCAGGACAGTGAGGGTGGGAAGGAGCCTGATGCAGGGAGTGAGGCGCAGGACAGTGAGGGTGGGAAGGAGCCTGATGCAGGGAGTGAGGCGCAGGACAGTGAGGGTGGGAAGGAGCCTGATGCAGGGAGTGAGGCGCAGGACAGTGAGGGTGGGAAGGAGCCTGATGCAGGGAGTGAGGCGCAGGACAGTGAGGGTGGGAAGGAGCCTGATGCAGGGAGTGAGGCGCAGGACAGTGAGGGTGGGAAGGAGCCTGATGCAGGGAGTGAGGAGCCGGACAGTGAGGGTGGGAGGCGGCCTGATGCAGGGAGTGAGGCGCAGGACAGTGAGGGTGGGAAGGAGCCTGATGCAGGGAGTGAGGCGCAGGACAGTGAGGGTGGGAAGGAGCCTGATGCAGGGAGTGAGGAGCAGGACAGTGAGGGTGGGAAGGAGCCTGATGCAGGGAGTGAGGAGCCGGACAGTGAGGGTGGGAAGGAGCCTGATGCAGGGAGTGAGGAGCAGGACAGTGAGGGTGGGAAGTGGCCTGATGCAGGGAGTGAGGAGCAGGTGTGAGGGCGGGAAGCGGCCTGATGCAGGGAGTGAGGCGCAGGACAGTGAGGGTGGGAAGGAGCCTGATGCAGGGAGTGAGGCGCAGGACAGTGAGGGTGGGAAGGAGCCTGATGCAGGGAGTGAGGCGCAGGACAGTGAGGGTGGGAAGGAGCCTGATGCAGGGAGTGAGGAGCAGGACAGTGAGGGTGGGAAGTGGCCTGATGCAGGGAGTGAGGCGCAGGACAGTGAGGGTGGGAGGCGGCCTGATGCAGGGAGTGAGGCGCAGGACAGTGAGGGTGGGAAGGAGCCTGATGCAGGGAGTGAGGCGCAGGACAGTGAGGGTGGGAAGGGGCCTGATGCAGGGAGTGAGGCGCAGGACAGTGAGGGTGGGAAGGAGCCTGATGCAGGGAGTGAGGAGCCGGACAGTGAGGGTGGGAAGGAGCCTGATGCAGGGAGTGAGGAGCAGGACAGTGAGGGTGGGAGGTGGCCTGATGCAGGGAGTGAGGAGCCGGACAGTGAGGGTGGGAAGGAGCCTGATGCAGGGAGTGAGGCGCAGGACAGTGAGGGTGGGAGGCGGCCTGATGCAGGGAGTGAGGCGCAGGACAGTGAGGGTGGGAAGGAGCCTGATGCAGGGAGTGAGGAGCAGGACAGTGAGGGTGGGAGGCGGCCTGATGCAGGGAGTGAGGCGCAGGACAGTGAGGGTGGGAAGGAGCCTGATGCAGGGAGTGAGGCGCAGGACAGTGAGGGTGGGAAGGAGCCTGATGCAGGGAGTGAGGCACAGGACAGTGAGGGTGGGAAGTGGCCTGATGCAGGGAGTGAGGCGCAGGACAGTGAGGGTGGGAAGGAGCCTGATGCAGGGAGTGAGGAGCCGGACAGTGAGGGTGGGAAGGAGCCTGATGCAGGGAGTGAGGCGCAGGACAGTGAGGGTGGGAAGGGGCCTGATGCAGGGAGTGAGGCGCAGGACAGTGAGGGTGGGAAGGAGCCTGATGCAGGGAGTGAGGAGCAGGACAGTGAGGGTGGGAGGCGGCCTGATGCAGGGAGTGAGGAGCCGGACAGTGAGGGTGGGAAGGAGCCTGATGCAGGGAGTGAGGAGCCGGACAGTGAGGGTGGGAAGGAGCCTGATGCAGGGAGTGAGGCGCAGGACAGTGAGGGTGGGAGGCGGCCTGATGCAGGGAGTGAGGCGCAGGACAGTGAGGGTGGGAAGGAGCCTGATGCAGGGAGTGAGGAGCAGGACAGTCAGGGTGGGAGGCGGCCTGATGCAGGGAGTGAGGCGCAGGACAGTGAGGGTGGGAAGGAGCCTGATGCAGGGAGTGAGGCGCAGGACAGTGAGGGTGGGAAGGAGCCTGATGCAGGGAGTGAGGCGCAGGACAGTGAGGGTGGGAAGTGGCCTGATGCAGGGAGTGAGGCGCAGGACAGTGAGGGTGGGAAGTGGCCTGATGCAGGGAGTGAGGCGCAGGACAGTGAGGGTGGGAAGGGGCCTGATGCAGGGAGTGAGGCGCAGGACAGTGAGGGTGGGAAGGGGCCTGATGCAGGGAGTGAGGAGCCGGACAGTGAGGGTGGGAAGGAGCCTGATGCAGGGAGTGAGGCGCAGGACAGTGAGGGTGGGAAGGGGCCTGATGCAGGGAGTGAGGCGCAGGACAGTGAGGGTGGGAAGGGGCCTGATGCAGGGAGTGAGGAGCCGGACACTGAGGGTGGGAAGGAGCCTGATGCAGGGAGTGAGGCGCAGGACAGTGAGGGTGGGAAGGGGCCTGATGCAGGGAGTGAGGCGCAGGACAGTGAGGGTGGGAAGGGGCCTGATGCAGGGAGTGAGGAGCCGGACAGTGAGGGTGGGAAGGAGCCTGATGCAGGGAGTGAGGCGCAGGACAGTGAAGGTGGGAAGGGGCCTGATGCAGGGAGTGAGGCGCAAGACAGTGAGGGTGGGAAGGAGCCTGATGCAGGGAGTGAGGCGCAGGACAGTGAGGGTGGGAAGGAGCCTGATGCAGGGAGTGAGGAGCAGGACAGTGAAGGTGGGAAGGAGCCTGATGCAGGGAGTGAGGAGCCGGACAGTGAGGGTGGGAAGGAGCCTGATGCAGGGAGTGAGGAGCTGGACAGTGAGGATGGGAAGGAGCCTGATGCAGGGAGTGAGGAGCAGGACAGTGAGGGTGGGAAGTGGCCTGATGCAGGGAGTGAGGCGCAGGACAGTGAGGGTGGGAAGGAGCCTGATGCAGGGAGTGAGGAGCAGGACAGTGAGGGTGGGAGGCGGCCTGATGCAGGGAGTGAGGAGCCGGACAGTGAGGGTGGGAGGCGGCCTGATGCAGGGAGTGAGGAGCAGGACAGTGAGGGTGGGAAGTGGCCCGATGCAGGGAGTGAGGCGCAGGACAGTGAGGGTGGGAAGGAGCCTGATGCAGGGAGTGAGGAGCCGGACAGTGAGGGTGGGAAGGAGCCTGATGCAGGGAGTGAGGAGCCGGACAGTGAGGGTGGGAAGGAGCCTGATGCAGGGAGTGAGGAGCAGGTGTGAGGGCGGGAAGCGGCCTGATGCAGGGAGTGAGGAGCAGGACAGTGAGGGTGGGAAGGGGCCTGATACAGGGAGTGAGGAGCAGGACAGTGAGGGTGGGAAGGAGCCTGATGCAGGGAGTGAGGAGCCGGACAGTGAGGGTGGGAAGCAGCCTGATCTTTGCACGGGCTGCCAGGCTTCTGGTTCATACAGCCCCAGGTCAGTTTCCAGAACCCTCGCTCTTGGGTAGGGGAAAGAGACATTGCTCTGGAGTGGCAGGACGGTGGGAGAAGTTGAGTCCCTCTCATTTCTCCTCCCTCACCCCCTGCCTTCCATCCCAGTCTGAAGGCAGCCAACCTGATCCTGGGCTTGGAAGGTTGGGGGTGGGCTTCCTATCCTGGGCTCTCTGCATAGGCTCTTGTGGCTTCCCCTTTCCTCCCCTCAGGAGCGGGAGGCAGCTCTCTGGGAGAAGAAAGGACATTGGGAGTGAGAATCTGGATGTGCCTCAGCCCAGCTCTGTGTCCTTGGGCAGGTCACATGGCCTCTCTGAGCCTGGCTGAACCAGGGATAATCCACACCTCGTGGGGTCTCTGGAAGGCTTAACACAGTGCTAGGTTCCTGTGCTTTCTGGATCCGCCCTCTTGGCTAGCCAGATCCAGTCTCTTCAACTCTCTCCTCCTGAACTTTCTCTTTCCAGGCTCGGGGGGGGGGACCCAAATATAGGGGGTTCTGCGTGGCTGCCTCAGGGTTAGATGCCCTGGTGGGAAAGGGGCTTCTGGCTTCAAGATCAATGTTTAACTGGATGTGCAAGTCAATATTTACCAGAAGAGAAAGCAATCTGAACAGGGGTTGGCTGAGAGTAAAGGTCCTGGTGGGAGGGGAGGGGTGGGCTGGGCCAGCTGGAGCCTGGGCAGAGAGTGAGGAGCACCCAAGTGGGGCCAGAGGAACGTTGTGTGTGGCAGCAAGGAGCCCGCAGAGGTATGAGGGGAGGGGCTGCTCGGCCTGCTCCTTGGGTAGGAGAGGAGGAGGGAGCTGCCTCCCTGGCTGAGGGGTCTGGGATTTATTCAGGAGGCCTGTCACTCCCCAGCCTCTTCTGGGACTTGAAAAACTGGAGCCTGTTCTTGGCAAGAAGATTCTAATGCCCAGGTCGGAGTCGGGGCCCTGGCCAAGGGCTCTTGTGTGGGATGGGGGTGGGGCCGGGGGGACCAAAGGATCCTCCAGAAGGGTTGGCCCCAAGATGGGGGTGGGCTGGAGGTAGCTGAGACCTGCTCTGACTTATCCTCCTGAGACCAACACCTGCCCTTCCCAGAGCCAGCCTGGAGCAGAGGCCTGTGATGCTCCTAAGTGCAGAGGTGGCTCTGGCCAGAGTCATTCACTGGGCTCTGCTGCTGGGTCAAAAGGCAGCTCTCTGGCTGCCTTGCCACCCATGGTGAGACCTCAGGGCCTCACAGGTATGTCCAGCCTTGTGGGCAAGACCTGACCAGCCTGAGAAAGACGGGTTGGGGCCAGGCGTGGTGGCTCATGCCTGTCATCCCAGCACTTTGGGAGGCTGAGGCAGGTGGATCACCTGAGGTCAGGAGTTCGAGACCAGCCTGACCAACATGGAGAAACCCTGTCTCTACTAAAAATACAAAATTAGCCAGGCATGGTGGCACATGCCTGTAATCCCAGCTACTCGGGAGGCTGAGGCAGGAGAATCGCTTTAACCCAGGAGGTGGAGGTTGCAGTGAGCCGAGATCGTGCCATTGCACTCCAGCCTGCATGATAAGAATGAAACTCCATCTCAAAAAAAAAAAAAAAAAAAAAAAAGACAGGCTAAATGGATGCAGCAGGCTGGGTAGGAGCTCTGTGTTGGAGCTCTGCGGTGGAGGCTTCAGGGCAGGCTTCCCAGAAGAGGTGGCCTTGAGCCAAGCTGACCCCAGCCATCGGGGGAGTGCCAAGCATTGTACTCAGGGTTTACAAAGATGGTCTTATTTATTTTTTTGAGACAGAGTCTTGCTCTGTCGCCCAGGCTGGAGTGCAGTGGCGTGATCTCGGCTCACTGCAACCTCCGCCTCCCGGGTTCAAGCAGTTCTCTGCCTCAGCCTCCCGAGTAGCTGGGATTACAGGGGCCCACCACCACGCCTGGCTAATTTTGTATTTTCAGTAGAGATGGGGTTTTACCATGTTGGCCAGGCTGGTCTTGAACTCCCGACCTCAGGTGATCCACCTGCCCCTGGCCTCCCAAAGTGCTGGGATTACAGGCTTGAGCCACCGTGCCTGGCCACAAAGATGGTCTTTTGCCGGGTGCAGTGGCTCATGCCTGTAATCCCAGTACTTTGGGAGGCCGAGGCAGGAGGATCACCTGAGGTCGGGAGTTTAAGACCAGCCTGACTAACACAGAGAAACCCCGTTTCTACTAAGAAATACAGAATTAGCCAGGCGTGGTGGTGCATGCCTGTAATCCCAGCTATTCGGGAGGCTGAAGCAGGAGAATCGCTTGAACCTGGGAGGTGGAGGTTGCGGTGAGCCGAGATCCTGCCACTGCACTCCAGCCTGGTCAACGAGAGCGAAACTCCGTCTCAAAAAATAAACAACAAAAAATCCCAAAAAGACGGTCTTATTTTGGTCCTCACCATGCATGTGAGAAGAGTGAGGGACTTGTGCCACCGTTTTACAAGGTAAGGCCAAGCCTGGTGGAGTTACGGGAAATGCCGAGGTCCTTTGGCAAGAGGTAGCCTGGATTCAGACACAGATCTGATTCACAGCGCAGGGCCTTGTAGAATGAGAACGTTTTTGATTTGGTATCTCCCTCCTATTCACCAAAACACCCTCAGTGCATGAAATGCATGAAATATGAAACACCAGAAACTAAAAAGGGGGAGAAGCCAGGGCGGATGTCCCAGCTGCAGGAGTGGGAGCCGCTGCTCGTGTGTTTGGGGTCTGTTCTGATTCTGGAGCCTGCTTCTTCCCCTTGGCAATCATGACCCAGGACTTGGCGTTATCTGTGATCGCGTGGGTAGGATTCCCTGGCGGGCGTGGGGATGTGAGATGGGAACAGAGCTTTCTGTCCCTGCCACAGGAACATGGCGCTGCTCTGGGGGCTCCTGGTGCTCAGCTGGTCCTGCCTGCAAGGCCCCTGCTCCGTGGTGAGGCTGGGCTGAAGTCAAGGTGGGGTGGGGTGGAGGGGGAAGAAGAGGGGCGTTGGCATGGAGGGAGGGCTTGGCTCCGAGGGGACCTCCTATCCTCATCCCTTTCTCCACAGTTCTCCCCTGTGAGCGCCATGGAGCCCTTGGGCCGGCAGGTACTGGGGAGTGAGGAGCCTGTGATGGGGGGAAGGTCCCGGGGGTCTCACTGGTGGCTTGGGCAGGGTGGGGGGCCTGTGGGAAGGGTCGGTCTCCATCTGCTTGCTCCTTTCCGCAGCTAACTAGCGGGCCGAACCAGGAGCAGGTGTCCCCACTTACCCTCCTCAAGTTGGGCAACCAGGTACAACCAGGTGGGGCTGGGGAAGAGTGGGCGGGGCTAGAGGGAGGAGGGCCCATCGGCAGGGGTCGGGGGGTGGGGGCGCGTGCTGAGGCTGAGGCTCTGGAGTCCAGAGGCCAGAAGGGAGAGAGGGTGGGGAGGACCGAAGGTGGGCGCCAGGCCCCAGAATGCCAGTGCCCTCCGTCTGACGCTCCCTCTTCCCTGGGGCTGGGACAAGGCCCTGCTGTCCTCAGGCACAGGGGCTGTGACAAGGCCTTCAACACAGAACCTGGAGCTGACCCCTTGACCTCCCTGACCCCTGATCTGTCCCTGCAGGAGCCTGGTGGCCAGACTGCCCTGAAGAGTCCCCCAGGAGTCTGCAGCAGAGACCCCACCCCAGAGCAGACCCACAGGCTGGCCCGGGCCATGATGGCCTTCACTGCCGACCTGTTCTCCCTGGTGGCTCAAACGTCCACCTGCCCCAACCTCATCCTGTCACCCCTGAGTGTGGCCCTGGCGCTGTCTCACCTGGCACTAGGTACCCTGGCACCACTTGTCCAGACCAAGAGAGCTGGGAGGCCAGTAGGAACTCAGTACTCCAATGGTTCTCCGCGGGCGGTTCCTCCACCAGGGTCACGTGGCTGTTTGGTAAAAATGCAGATTCCTAGGCCGGGGCGGTGGCTCACGCCTGTAATCCCAACACTTTGGGAGGCTGAGGCGGGTGGATCACGAGGTCAGGAGTTCAAGACCAGCCTGGCCAACATGGTGAAACTCTCTCTACTAAAAATACAAAAAATTTAGCTGTGCGTGGTGGTGCGCACCTGTAATTCCAGCTACTCAGGAGGCTGAGGCAGAGAACTGTTTGAACCTGGGAGTTGGAGGTTACAGTGAGCCGAGATGGCGCCACTGCACTCCAGCCTGGGTGACAGAGCAAGATTCCGTCTCAAACAACAACAACAACAAATGCAGATTCCTGGGCCCCCACCCATCTGTCTATGTGAATCAGATCTCAGGGACTGGGCCGGGGAATCTGCTTATTTACAAGTCCTCCTGGTGATTTTTTTTTTTTTTTTGAGACAGAGTCTTGCTCTGTCACCCAGGCTAGAGTGCAGTGGTGTGATCTCAGCTCACTGCAACCTCTGTCTCCCAGGTTCAAGCAATTCTCCTGCCTCAGCCTCCCAAATAGCTGGGATCACAGGCACCAGCCACCATGCACAGCTGATTTTTGTATTTTTAGTAGAGACGGGGTTTCACCATGTTGGCCAGGGTGGTCTCGAACTCTCGACCTAAGGTGATCAACCTGCCTCAGCCTCCCAAAGTGCTGGGATTACAGGCGTGAGCCACCGCGCCCGGCCCCTCCTGGTGATTCTTATGCAAGAGTTTGCTAGCTACACTCTTTCCCACTGTGCTGGAGGGTCTCACTGTGGGAAACGGAAGCCCAGAGAGGGAAGGTAACTTGTGGGGGGTGAGGTCACCCAGCCTGTCAGCCACAGGGGTGAGAGCCACGCAGAACAGATCCGTGGCTGTGGAAGGATGGCGTGTGGTCCCGTGGACGTCCTCGTCACGGGTATCCAGGAGGGACTGGAGTGGGCAGTGGGGGTGAGAAAGGACCCGCAGCCGGGCCTCAGCCTGTGCGGTGCCCTCCAGGTGCTCAGAACCACACGTTGCAGAGGCTGCAACAGGTGCTGCACGCAGGCTCAGGGCCCTGCCTCCCCCATCTGCTGAGCCGCCTCTGCCAGGACCTGGGCCCCGGCGCGTTCCGACTGGCTGCCAGGATGTACCTGCAGAAAGGTAGGCGCTGATGGCAGGGAGCTCCCTCAGTCCTGCCCTGGGTGGAGGAGGGTGAGAGCAAGGGGCTGGGCCTCTGGTAGCGAGTAGGGGCGTGTCTGGCTGTGGAGCCTGGAGCCCTGGGAACAGCTTGTGCTGCCTCCGTGCAGGATTTCCCATCAAAGAAGATTTCCTGGAACAATCCGAACAGCTATTTGGGGCAAAGCCCGTGAGCCTGACGGGAAAGCAGGAAGATGACCTGGCAAACATCAACCAATGGGTGAAGGAGGCCACGGAGGGGAAGATTCAGGAATTCCTCTCTGGGCTGCCGGAAGACACCGTGTTGCTTCTCCTCAACGCCATCCACTTCCAGGGTGCGCTCCTCCTCCTCTCAGATCCCCCACCCTGTAGGCTGAGCTGGGACGTGCAGGCCTTTTTGTTTTTTGAGACAAGTCTCGCTCTGTCACCCAGGGTGGAGCGCAGTGGCGCGATCTCGGCTCCCTGCAACCTCCGCCTCCCGGATTGAAGCGATTCTCCTGGCTCAGCCTCCCCAGTAGCTGGGATTACAGGCATCTGCCACCACACCCAGCTAATTTTTGTATTTTAGTAGAGACAGGGTTTCACCATGTTGGCCAGGCTGGCCTTGAACTCCTGACCTCAGGTGATCCACCCACCTCGGCCTCCCAAAGTGCTGGGATTACAGGCGTGAGCCACCGCGCCCGGCCATGCAGGCTTTGTTCTGAGGGTCTCCTTTCTTCCTCAGTCTGGGCCATGAGGCAGGAGGCTGTCTGGGTGTGGTGGGGATGGGTGCCCAGGAGCCAGATGAGTTGTTCTAGAGTGAATACCCTGGGAACAAATGGTCTGAAAAGATCCAGGAGGGGCTGGGCGCGGTGGCTCACGCCTGTAATCCCAACACTTTGGGAGGCCGAGGCGGGCAGATCATGAGGTCAGGAGATGGAGACCATCCTGGCTAACACGGTGAAACCCCCGTCTCTGCTAAAAATACAAAAAAATTAGCTGGGCGTAGTGGCGGGCACCTGTAGTCCCAGCTACTCGGGAGGCTGAGGCAGGAGAATGGCGTGAGCCCGGGAGGCGGTGGAGCTTGCAGTGAGCGGAGGTCGTGCCACTGCACTCCAGCCTGGGCGACAGAGCGAGACTCCGTCTAAAAAAAAAAAAAAAGATCCAGGAGGAGGTTCCTAGGAGAATTGCAGGGGTTGGGGAAAACACAAGCCCAGATTTCAAAAATGCTACGGGAAAGAGACCTTAGATCAATTGGATGCCAGCTAGCATTCCCTGGGGTCTTGGCCTCCACCGCTGTCTCATCCTTGAATGGATTCTGGGTGGGACAGGCAACGGGCTGGGGGTGCAGAGCCCAAGCTGGTCCCCATCGACGTGACCCCTGCCCTCTGCCCCAAGCTGGTCCCCGTCGACGTGACCCCTGCCCTCTGCTGGGTTTCAGGTTTCTGGAGGAACAAGTTTGACCCGAGCCTTACCCAGAGAGACTCCTTCCACCTGGACGAGCAGTTCACGGTGCCCGTGGAAATGATGCAGGCCCGCACGTACCCGCTGCGCTGGTTCTTGCTGGAGCAGCCTGAGATCCAGGTCACCCTTGGTTGTCCAGCAGGCTGGGCCTGAGGCTGGGAGGTGGGGAAGGGAGTGGACAGGCTGTGGAGCAGGCACAGGGATGGGTGGAGGCTGTCTCGCCTTCCTTGCCTCCACGTCCCCTAGGCAGGCAACTGCAAAAGGTCCCATGATCCCCCATCCTACCTGGCAGGAGGACTGAGGCTCCAGGCTCTTTGAGGTTTAGTAATTCAGTGAAAATATACTGGGCATTTGCTGTGTTCCAGATACTGTTCTAAGCACTAGGGTTTTTGTGGAGCATGAGGGAGGCCAGGTCTCTGCTCTTAGGAAGGAGGATACACAGTGCAACAGTGAATGGACATCAACACAGGAATTCCAGACGCTGGGAAGCGCTGTGGAGGGAAAGCTGAAAAAGAAGGTGATTTTGGCCGGGAGCGGTGGCTCACGCCTGTAATCCCAGCACTTTGGGTGGCCCAGGCAGGTGGATCATAAGGTCAGGAGTTTGAGACCAGCCTGGCCAAGATTTGAAACCCCGTTTCTACTAAAAATACAAAAATTAGCCAGGCGTGGTGGCAGGTGCCTGTAATCCCAGCTACTCCAGAGGCTGAGGCAGGAGAATCACTTGAACCCAGGAGGGAAAGGTTGCAGTGAGCTGTGATTTTGAGGTCAGGAGTTCGAGACCAGCCTGACCAACATAGCAAAGCCCCGTCTCTACTAAAAATACAAAAATTAGCCAGCCATGGTGGCGGGCGCCTGTAATCCCAGATACTCTGGAGGCTGAGGCAGGAGAATCACTTGAACCCGGGAGACGGAGGCTGCAGTGGGCTGAGATCGCACCACTGCACTCCAGCCTGGGAGACAGATTGAGACTCCGACTCAGAAAAAACAAAGGCTGGCCTTGAACTCCTGACCTCAGGTCATCTGCCCACCTCGGCCTCCCTAAGTGCTGGGATTACGGGCATGAGCCACCAGGCCTGGCCTTATTTAGGCATTTTAGAGTGGTAAGGGAGAATTCTGTGAGGAGGGGGCATTGAATTGAGACTCAGGTGACCGTTGTTGATAAGGGTTTATTACAAGGGCCCATGGACTTTGGGGCAGCACAGGGACCACCCCACGGCCATGTAGCCACTCAGGGTCTCTGCAGCCCCCAGCCTGGGAGATTCCACGGGGCGCTCACACAGTGCTCCTTAGAAAGGAGGATCTGATTGGATTGGATTTCTCAGCATCTTGCGTGGAACATTCTGATTGGATAAACTTCTTTTTTTTTTTTTTGAGACAGAGTCTTGCTCTGTCACCCAGGCTGGAGTGCAGTGGCACGATCTCGGCTCACTGCAGCCTCTGCCTCCTGGGTTCAAGCCACTCTCCTGCCTCAACCTCTCGAGTAGCTGGAACTACAGGCATGCACCACCACGCCTGGCTAATTTTGTTCGTTTGTTTGTTTGTTTTTGAGACGGAGTTTCTCTCTATCGCCCAGACTGGAGTGCAGTGGTGCAATCTCGGTTCACTGCAATCTCTACCTCCCGGGTTCAAGGGATTCTCCTGCCTCAGCCTCCCGAGTAGCTTGGACTACAGGCGCCCGCCACCATGCCCAGCTAATTTTTGTATTTTTAGTAGAGACGGGGTTTCACCATATTGGCCAGGATGGTCTCAATCTCCTGACCTCGTGATCCGCCTGCCTCAGCCTCCCAACGTGCTGGGATTACAGGTGTGAGCCACCGTGCCCGGCCAATTTTTGTATTTTTTTTTTTTAGTAGAGACAGGTTTCACCATGTTGGCCAGGCTGATCTCAAACTCCTGAC
The DNA here is from genome assembly GCF_000001405.40 of Homo sapiens. Taxonomy (NCBI): domain Eukaryota; kingdom Metazoa; phylum Chordata; class Mammalia; order Primates; family Hominidae; genus Homo; species Homo sapiens. Next base: position 1,750,519 of record NC_000017.11, read on the forward strand.
CTCAAGTGATCCGCCCGCCTTGGCCTCCCAAAGTGCTGGGATTATAGGCAGGAGCCACTGCGCCCAGCTCTGATTGGATAAAATTCCGTGCCAGGCTGTCTCAGGTGTGGCCTCTCTTGCTTCTAGCCTAAATGTGGTCCCCTTGGCCTGGGTATTGATCCCCGGGCCAGACAGCTGTGGCTGAGATGGCTGTATTTGTTAGCTTCCCAAGGCAAGTGTGACACAGAGCACAGCCACTTCTGCAGGGAGGAGCCAGAAGCCACTTGGGCAGCCCTCCTGGGAGGGGGCTGTGGGTGAGGCTGGCCCGGGAACGCGTCCTGGCTTCCCTGCAGCTCATTCTGAAAGGCCAGTCTGATCCACCTCCCCGAGGCTCCCCTTTCCTGCTTCCCCTTTCCTCCAGGCTGTGTCCTGCGTACTCTTCCTTCATCCTTCGTCTCCTTTCCTTAGGCCCCGTCAGCCTTTCTTGTCCTCAGGCCCTCTGCAGACAGGCCCAAACAGCCAGAACCCGGGGCTTATCCTCCCACGGGCAGGGGTTCTCCACACGGGTACTCTGCCTGGAACCCAAGGAGTCACAGCTGCAGGAGGCCCTCGAGCCCTGTGGTGTCCACACTGCTTTTGCTGCAGAATCCCTTCAAATCAAATCTTAATGGCTGGGCACGGTGGCTCACGCCTGTAATCCCAGCACTGTGGGAGGCTGAGGCAGGTGGATCACCTGAGGTCTGGAGTTTGAGACCAGCCTGGCCCACATGGTGAAACCCCGTCTCTACTAAAAATACATCAATTGGCCAGGTGAGATGGTGAGCGCCTGTAGTCCCAGCTACTCGGGAGGCTGAGGCAGGAGAATCACTTGAACCCGGGTGGCAGAGGTTGCAGTGAGCCAAGATCATGCCACTGCACTCCAGCCTGGACAATAAGAGTGAAACTCTGTCTTGAAAAAAAAAAAAAAAGAGGCTGGGTGTGGTTTACAGGCTCATGCCTGTAATCCCAGCACTTTGGGAGGCCAAGGCAGGTGGATCACGAGGTCAGGAGATTGAGACCATCCTGGCTAACACGGTGAAACCCCATCTCTTCTAAAAATACAAAAAATTAGCCGGGCGTAGTGGCGGGCACCTGTAATCCCAGCTACTCGGGAGGCTGAGGCAGAAGAATGGCGTGAATCCACGAGGCGGAGGTTGCGGTGAGCCGAGATTGCGCCACTGCACTCCAGCCTGGGCGACAGTGCGAGACTCCAACTCAAAAGAAAAGAAAAAAAAAGAAATCTTAAGCCAAATCACAATATATTTACACAGCTGGCAAAGTCACAAGAGGGAGGTGTGGGAGGGTGGGGCGGGCAGCACTCGGCAGTGGCTCACCCACAGAACCCAGCTGTGGTATGACAGCCAGTGACCCTGTCTGTGGTACATCTGGAGAAGCTGAGACAAAGACAGGCGATTCCTTACGCCGGGTCACACGGCCAGCTGGTAGCCGGTGAAGAGAGAAAACCACCAGGTATTATTGAGCACCGTCTGTGACAGCGGACACTGCTACAATGTTGTTTTTTTTCTTTTTTTGAGACGGATTTTTACTCCTGTCCCCCAGGCTGGAGTGCAGTGGCTTGATCTTGGCTCATGGCAACCTCTGCCTCCCGGGTTCAAGCAATTCTCCTGCCTCAGCCTCCCGAGTTGCTGCGATTACAAGCGCCCGTCACCACAGAAGCCCAGCTCATTTTTGTATTTTTAGTAGAGATGAGGTTTTGCCATGTTGGTCAGGCTGGTCTTGAACTCCTGACCTCAGGTGATCTGCCTGCCTCGGCCTCCCAAAGTGCTAGGATTACAGGCGTGAGCCCCCATGCCCGGCCACACTGCTAGAAACTTTAAAAGCATCTCATTCGGTTACGTGTCCGCCTGCAGTGGGACAGGTAGTATGACTCCACCCCACTGTGAGGAAGTGGAGGAGCAGTGGGGTCAGTCACACGCCTGGCAGGATGGCCAGGAGCCCCATTGTCTGCCTTAGGAGCACCTGCTGGCCCCACCCCCACTTAGCTTCGGGGCTTTCTGTCCTCATGCTCTTCCCTTCCCTTTTCTGTAGGTGGCTCATTTCCCCTTTAAGAACAACATGAGCTTTGTGGTCCTTGTACCCACCCACTTTGAATGGAACGTGTCCCAGGTACTGGCCAACCTGAGTTGGGACACCCTGCACCCACCTCTGGTGTGGGAGAGGCCCACCAAGGTCCGGCTGCCTAAGCTGTATCTGAAACACCAAATGGACCTGGTGGCCACCCTCAGCCAGCTGGGTAAGGAGGAGGGTGCGGGCGAGCCCCCGAGGTCAGGCTGGGCAGGGCGGGTAAGGAGGAAGCGTCTGGCTGGCAGTGGAGCTGAGTCAGAGCTGTCCTGTGTCCTGCTCTTTTCCAGGGCTTCGGGAGCGGGGAGAGGGTTGAATATGAGCCCCCAGACCCTCTGTCCTAGAGGAAGTTGGGGTGGCCCGGGGAATGGGGCTCTGCTTTGCTGCCCAAGACCTCGCATTGCAAGGAGAGTCTGGGTAGAGAGCCTGGGATGGCATGTGAGCCTCGCTGGCTTCCCTGGAAGGGGAAGGAGGAGAAGCTGGGGTGTCACACTGTTAAAGAAATGCTGGGTGGAGTGGCTCATGCCTGTAATCCCAGCACGTTGGGAAGCTGAAGTGGGTGGATTGCTTGAGCCCGGGAGTCCGACACCAGCCTGTGCAACACATTGAAACTCCGTCCCTACAAAAAATACAAAAATTAGCCAGGTGTGGTGCATGCTACTGGGGAGGTTGAGGTGGGAGGCCCTCTTGACCCCAGGTGGCTGAGGCTGCAGTGAGCCATAATTGTGCCACTGCACTCCAGCCTCAGCAAAAGAACTAAGACCTTGTCTCAAAAATAAAAATAAAGGCCGGGCATGGTGGCTCACGTCTGTAATCCTAGCACTTTGGGAGGCCAAAGAGGGTGGATCACCTGAGGTCATGAGTTTGAGACCAGCCTGGCCAACATGGCCAAACCCGTCTCCACTAAAAATACAAAAATTAGCCGGGCGTGGTGGCGCATGCCCATAATCCCAGCTACTTGGGAGGCTGAGGCAGGAGAATTGCTTGAACCTGGGAGGAGGAGGTTGCAGTGAGCCGAGATCACGCCACTGTACTCCAGCCTGGATGACAGAGTGAGACTCCATCTCAAAAAAAAATTATAATAACTAAAATAAATAAATAAAGCATCTATCCTTCAGCCATTTGCTAAGCAGCTGCTGTATTCCAGGCACTGTACCAGGTACCGGGAGCCCACCATGTACAAACAGCTGAGTCTAATGGGGTGGGCAGACGAGCAATCACATACTTACTACAGCATAAGCGATAAGACAGAGAGGGCTTCTCTCCAGCTCACCTGGGAGAACACTGAAAATGTACCTTGGTTGGACTTTAGAGCTGGGGATCAGGGAAGGCTTCCTGGAGGAGGTGGTGTTTAAGCTGAGTCTTGGAAACCGGATAGGAATGAAGCAGGTATCTGTGAGTTCAAGCTGTTCCCTGGCCAGGATCTCAGACACCCTCCCAAGCAGCTCCAGGAGCCTGTGAGGCCAAGGGCAGCTCTGACCAGCCATCTCTGGCCCTGGGCAGGCCTGCAGGAGTTGTTCCAGGCCCCAGACCTGCGTGGGATCTCCGAGCAGAGCCTGGTGGTGTCCGGCGTGCAGCATCAGTCCACCCTGGAGCTCAGCGAGGTCGGCGTGGAGGCGGCGGCGGCCACCAGCATTGCCATGTCCCGCATGTCCCTGTCCTCCTTCAGCGTGAACCGCCCCTTCCTCTTCTTCATCTTCGAGGACACCACAGGCCTTCCCCTCTTCGTGGGCAGCGTGAGGAACCCCAACCCCAGTGCACCGCGGGAGCTCAAGGAACAGCAGGATTCCCCGGGCAACAAGGACTTCCTCCAGAGCCTGAAAGGCTTCCCCCGCGGAGACAAGCTTTTCGGCCCTGACTTAAAACTTGTGCCCCCCATGGAGGAGGATTACCCCCAGTTTGGCAGCCCCAAGTGAGGGGCCGTGGCTGTGGCATCCAGAGTCCCTGCCTGGACCAGCCTCTCCACTCATGTGACTCTTTCCAACCGGCTTTGTGGCACTGGGGCAGGGGCCGGGGGCAGTCTGAGAGAGGCCATTCTTTCCCAACACCTCTTGGGGAGTTTAGGGTGGGGGGGGGGCGCGGCTGGGAGGAGGGCAGGCATCGGGGAGCCGGGAGCCTGACCCTCATCTTTCTTCCAAACAGGCTCAGAGGGTGTCCTGCACCGGGGCCTGGGCAGGAGGGAGGTGCTTCTAGTTCTGCCAGGAGACAGGTTAGCTGCTCCCCACGTCAGCTGGGACACCCCGACTTTTGTTTACCAGAGAAAAAGGGAGGGGGAGAGGGCTGCCTTTGGACTTGTCCCGGGACACCTAGGCTAGGGTGGGGAGAGACGGGCCCTGGTGGTGGCTCGGGAGGCGAAGCGTTGTCCTCAGCCCCGCGTGGAACTCGTGTCTGGCACAGCCTGGCTGTGGCCTAACCTGCCGAGAGTCCATCAGCCTCCATCCTACCCCCTGTGCCTTGTCACGCCAGACTTCCCACGGCTCCTCGAGATCCCAACACTGCCAGCATTTCCCTTCCTTCCTCTCCTGTCTCCCTCCTCTGCCCGGGAGCTCAGGAACCGAGGCAGGGAAGGATCCCATGAGCTCCTTAAGGCTCTTTTGTAAGGTTTTTGTAGTGATTTTTATGCCACCTGAATAAAGAATGAATGGGCCTGGCTGGTTTGATGTCACCGTTCTGGGCATGGGTGGGGACAAGTGAGGATGGTGGGGAAGGCAGGGAGGCGGCCGCAGGGTGGACTGTGCTGAGGAACCCTGGGCCCAGCAGGGGTGGCAGCCCGCGCAGTGCCACGTTTGGCCTCTGGCCGCTCGCCAGGCATCCTCCACCCCGTGGTCCCCTCTGACCTCGCCAGCCCTCCCCCGGGACACCTCCACGCCAGCCTGGCTCTGCTCCTGGCTTCTTCTTCTCTCTATGCCTCAGGCAGCCGGCAACAGGGCGGCTCAGAACAGCGCCAGCCTCCTGGTTTGGGAGAAGAACTGGCAATTAGGGAGTTTGTGGAGCTTCTAATTACACACCAGCCCCTCTGCCAGGAGCTGGTGCCCGCCAGCCGGGGGCAGGCTGCCGGGAGTACCCAGCTCCAGCTGGAGACAGTCAGTGCCTGAGGATTTGGGGGAAGCAGGTGGGGAAACCTTGGCACAGGGCTGACACCTTCCTCTGTGCCAGAGCCCAGGAGCTGGGGCAGCGTGGGTGACCATGTGGGTGGGCACGCTTCCCTGCTGGAGGTGCAGGGGGTCCACGTGGCAGCGGCCACCTGGAGCCCTAATGTGCAGCGGTTAAGAGCAAGCCCCTGGAAGTCAGAGAGGCCTGGCATGGAGTCTTGCTTCTTGCAAACGAGCCGTGTGGAGAGAGAGATAGTAAATCAACAAAGGGAAATACATGGTCTGTCCGAGGATGAGCTGCCGGAGAGCAATGGTGAAAGTGAAGTGGGGGAGGGGGCGGGGCTGGGAGGAAAAGCCTTGTGAGAAGGTGACACGAGAGCACGGCCTTGAAGGGGAAGAAGGAGGGCACTATGGAGGTCCCGGCGAAGCGTGGCCTGGCCGAGGAACGGCATGTGCAGAGGTCCTGCCGAGGAGCTCAAGACAAGTAGGGGACGGTGGGGCTGGAGTGGAGAGAGTGAGTGGGAGGAGGAGTAGGAGTCAGAGAGGAGCTCAGGACAGATCCTTTAGGCTCTAGGGACACGATAAACACAGTGTTTTTTGTCTTGTCAAGTGTGTCCTTTTTATTTTTTTGAAAGAGTCTCGCTCTGTAGCCCAGGCTGGAGTGCAGCGGTGCGACCTCGGCTCACTGCAACCTCTGCCTCCCGGGTCCAAGCAATTCTCCTGCCTCAGCCTCCCGAGTAGCTGGGATTACAGGCATGCGCCACCACGCACTGCTAATTTTTGTATTTTAGTAGAGACCGGGTTTTGCCATGTTGGTCAGGCTGGTCTCGAACTCCTGACCTCAGGTGATCCGCCCGCCTCGGCCTCCCAGAGTGGTGTGAGCCACTATGCCCTGCAGCACTTGTCAAGTCTTTCTCAGCGTTCCCCTCCTCTCCACTGCAGCTCCCAGTGCCCCAGTCTGGGCCTCGTCTTCACTTCCTGGGATCCCTGACATTGCCTGCTAGGCTCTCCCTGTCTCTGGTCTGGCTGCCTTCACTGTAACCTCCACCCAGCAGGTACCTCTTCAGCACCTCCCATGAACCCAGCAGAATACCAAGCCCTGGGGATGCAGCAACGAACAGGTAGACGCTGCACTCCAGCCTGGGCGACAGAGCAAGACTCCGCCTGAAGAAAAAAAAAAGGACCAGGCCGGGCGCGGTGGCTCACGCCTGTAATCCCAGCACTTTGGGAGGCCGAGGTGGGTGGATCATGAGGTCAGGAGTTCAAGACCAGCCTGGCCAAAATGGTGAAACCCCGTCTCTACTGAAAAATACAAAAATTAGCTGGGTGCAGTGGCGGGCGCCTGTAGTCTCAGCTACTCAGGAGGCTGAGGCAGGATAATTGCTTGACCCCAGGAGGCAGAGGTTGCAGTGAACCGAGATCACGCCACTGCACTCCAGCCTGGGCGACAGAGCAAGACTCTGCCTCAAAAAAAAGAATAAAAATAAAAAAAAGGACCAGATACAGAAAACAGAAGGAGACGTACTATGAAGGAAATTGGAGAGCTTTTGGGATACTGAGTAACTCAGGGTGGCCTTTCCCAGGGGACATTTAGCTGAGAGATAGACGGTATGAAGACCTGACCGTTCAGAAACAGGGGAAGAGGCAGCAGCCCGGGCAAAGGCCTTTGGGGCAGGAAAGGGCTTGGATCACTGGAGAAGCAGAAAGATGGCCAGTGTGACCAGAGTGTGACAAAGTCAGAGAAAACCAGGAAGATGGAGCTGGAGACACAGGCGGGGCCAGATCACGAGGGTCCTTGCAGACCAGAGCAAGGGTTTGGATTTTATTCCAAGTATGAAGGGAAGCTGCTGAAGTGTGTTTTCCTTTACAATTTGTAGTTGAAATATAATATGCAAAGTACACAAGTCTTAACTATATGTAAGCTTAATGAATGTTTCCATGAACCAAATACCGCTGTGCAACCATCACCAGCTCAAGAGACGAACCCTTCTCCCTCCTCCTGACTGCCAGTAACATAGTGGTTCAGCTCAAGAAACAGAACTCTTCTGACTTCCCCTAACATAGCGGGTTTTCTTTTTTGTTTTGTTTTTTGTTGTTTTTTAAGAGACAATGTCTTTATTATTTTTATTTTTTTTTATTTTTGAGACGGAGTCTTGCTGTCGCCCAGGCTGGAGTGCAGTGGTGCGATCTCGGCTCACTGCAGGCTCTGCCCCCCGGGGTTCATGCCATTCTCCTGCCTCAGCCTCCCTAGCAGCTGGGACTACAGGTGCCCGCCACCTCGCCCGGCTATTTTTTTGTATTTTTAGTGGAGACGGGGTTTCACCGTGTTAGCCAGGATGGTCTCGATCTCCTGACCTCGTGATCCGCCCACCTCGGCCTCCCAAAGTGCTGGGATTACAGGCATGAGCCACCGCGCCCAGCCAAGAGACACGGTCTTGCTCTGTCGCCCAGGCTGGATGGAGTGCCGTGGTGCGATCACAGTTCGCGGCAGCCTTGACATCCTGGGCTCAAGCAACCTTCCTGCCTTGGCCTCCCAAATGTTGGGATTATAGGCATGAGCCACTGTGCTTGGCATCTATTCATCTTTAATGTCAAGCAGGCAATTGAATATTTGATCAGGGATAGAATTGTCTATTTGGGGGTATGCAGATGTGCTTCATGTCATGGAACTGGGCCGGGCACGGTGGCTCATGCCTATAATCCCAGCACTTTGGGAGGCCGAGGCAGGCGGATCATAAGGTCAGGAGATCGAGACCATCCGGGCCAACACGGTGAAACCCCGTCTCTACTAAAAATACAAAAATTAGGCAGGTGTGGTGGTGCCTGCCTGTAGTCCCAGCTACTCAGGGAGGCTGAGACAGGAGAATTGATTGAACCTGGGAGGCAGAGGTTGTAGTGAGCCAAGATCGCGCCACTGCACTCCAGCCTGGGCGACATGAGCGAGACTCCGTCTCAAAAATAAACAAAAAAAAGTCATGGAATTGATGGAAATTGCCTAAGGGGAGATGTAGAAGAAAAGGGGTCTCAGGATCAAGCCAGCAGAGAAGGCAGAAAAGGTAAGGTGTGTGAGGTGGCAGAAAAAGGGAAGAGTGTGGACAGTGAGGGTTTCAAGGAGGAGGAACTGTCTACTGCCTCCTGCCAAGGACGGAGGTGTCCACTGCCAGTTGACATAAGGTCACCCATGAACTTGGTGACAGGAATTTCAGTGGAGAAGTGGCCACAGACACAAGTCTAGAATTGAAATGGGAGCCGAGGCAGCGTAGACAAAAGAGGAAACTGCTCCTTCCAGAGCGGCTCTGAGCGAGCACCGAGAAATGGGCAGTGGCTTTAGGGGATGTAGCGTCAAGGAAGTGTCTTTTAAAGAAGTCGGGGGCCGGGCACGGTGGCTCACGCCTGTAGTCCCAGCACTTTGGGAGGCCGAGGCAGGCAGATCACTTGAGGTCAGGAGTTCGAGACCAGCCTGGCTAACACGATGAAACCCCGTCTCTACTAAAAATACAAAAAATTAGCTGGGCACGGTGGCTCGTGCCTGTAATCCCAGCACTTTGGGAGGCAGAGGTGGGCAGATCACTTGAGGTCAGGAGTTTGAGACCAGCCTAGCCAACATGGTGAAACCCCATCTCTACTAAAACTACAAAAATTAGCCGGGAGTGGTGGCACGTGCCTGTAATCCCAGCCAGTCAGGAGGCTGAGGCAGGAGAATCACTGGAATCCTGGAGGTGGAGGTGGCAGTGAGCCGAGATGGTACCTCTGTACTCCAGCCTGGGGGACAGAGTGAGACTCCGTCTCAAAAAAAAAAGAAGGTGGGGAAGGATCTTTGAGGGCCGGACACGCTGACCCTGCAGGAGAGGACACATTCTTCTAACAGGGGTCGGACAAAAGAGAACTCTTCTGTATAATTTATGATTTTAAGATTTTTATTTATTATTATTTTTTATAGAGGCAAGCATTTTTCACCACGTCACCCAGGCTGGTCTCCAACTCCTGGGCTCAAGTGTGCTGGGATTATAGCCATGAGTCACCACACCTGGCCCAGAAACTTTACTAAGGACTTATTTAAATGATTTGCTTATTTGTGAATAGGTATTTTGTTCACGTGGTTCACAACTCAAAAGCAACAAAAAGCACCCAGTGAAAAGCCTTCCTCTCATTCTGATTTCCAGTCACTGGATTCTACTCTTGGGATGCAGTGTTTTTCATCTCTTTTTTGTATCCTTTTGGAAATAGTATTCTGCTTTAAAAAGCAAATACAGGCCAGGTATGGTGGCTCACTCCTGTAATCCCAGCACTTTGGGAGGCCGAGGCAGGTGATCACCTAAGGTCAGGAGTTCAAGACCAGCCTGGCCAATATGGTGAAACCCTGTCTGTACCAAAACACAAAAACAAAAACAAAAACAAAAATTAGCCGGGCGTGGTGGCGTGCTCCTGTAATCCCAGCTACTCAGGAGGCTGAGGCAGGAGAATCGCTTGAACCTGGGAGGCAGAGGTTGCAGTGAGCCGAGATTGTGCCACTGTACTCCAGCCTGGGCCACAGAGCAAGGTTCCATCTCAAACAAAACAAAACAAAACAAACAAAAAAACAAAACAAAAGCTAATACAAACACATATACAATAGACAAAACTGTAAATATTTTATTATTTTTATTTTTTTTAGTAGAGACAGGGTTTCACCATGTTGGCCAGGATGGTCTCAAACTCCTGACCTCAGGTGATCCACCCACCTCAGCCTCCCGATAGTTAGGATTACAGGCATGAGCCACCACACCCGGCCTAAAATTGTAAACGTTTTAGAAGAAAGTATAGATGAATCCCTTCGTGATCTCGGGGAAGAAGAGATTTTTTAAAAAAGATACCAAAAGAAGCACAAATTATAAAAGAAAAGATTGAAAATGTTGGTGTTAAAATTAAAAACTTGTTTTAAAACAAGCTTGTGTAACCCATGACCCACAGGCTGCATGTGGCCCAGAAAAGCTTTGACTGCAGCCCAACACAAATTCGTAAACTTTCCTAAAACATTATGAGATTTTTTTTGAGATTTTGTTTTGTTTTGTTTTTTGTTTTTTTAGCTCATTCGGTATCATTAATGTTAGCATATTTTACGTGGGGCCCAAGACAATTCTTCTTCCAATGTGTCTCAGGGGAGCCAAAAGATTGGACACCCCTGCCATAAACATGAAAAGACAATGGCCGGGCACGGTGGCTCACGCCTGTAATCCCAGCACTTTGGGAGGCTGAGGGGGGCGGGATCACCTGAGGTCAGGAGTTTGAGACAAGCGTGACCAATGTGGTGAAACCCTGTCTCTACTAAAAATACAAAAATTAGCCGGGCATGCTCGTGCACACCTATAGTCCCAACTACTCAGCAGGGTGAGGCAGGAGAACCTCTTGAACCCGGGAAGCGGAGGTTGCAGTGAGCCGACATTGCACCCCTGCACTCCAGCCTGGGTGACAGAGTGAGTCTCCATTGGAAAAAAAAAAAAAAGAACAGTGTGATACATTGACCTAAGGTTTAAGAACATGCAAACTGATACTATATATCACTTAGGGACAAAAACTTACATGGTAAAAGTAAAAAGAAATGTACGAAAATAATAAAAATCAAATTCAAGATGGTGGTTATGGTGACGGGAAAGAACTGAGGCGGAAATATAAGGTTGTCACTATATTGAGAAATTTTTCTATCTTTTTTTCTTTTTTCTTTTTTTGAGACGGGGTCTCGCTCTGTCGCCCAGGATGGAGTGCAGTGGTGTGATCTCAGCTCACTGCAACCTCCGCCTCCCAGGTTTAAGTGATTCTCCTGCCTCAGACTCCCAAGTAGCTGGGACTACAGGTGCGCGCCAACACACCTGGGTAATTTTGTTTGTATTTTTAGTAGAGATGGGGTTTCACCGTGTTGGCTAGGCTGGTCTCGAACTCCTGACCTCAGGTGATCCCCCGGCCTCGGTCTCCCAAAGTGCTGGGATAACAAGCGTGAGCCACTGCGCCCAGCTTTGTTTGCATTTTTAGGTGAGATGGGGTTTCACCACGTTGGCCAGGCTGGTCTTGAACTCCTGACCTCAGGTGATGCACCTGCCTCAGTCTCCCAAAGTGCTGGATTACAGGCGTTAGCCCCTGCGCCCGGCCCCTGAAGGAAAATCTAAAGGAAGAGGAAGGTGTGCAAATGTGTGCGCCTTAGGCGTAATGGATGGTGGTGCAGCAGTGGGTTAAAGTTAACACGAGACAGTGATGCAATCACAGAATCCAAATTGAGTGCAGGTCGCTTTAAGAAAGGAGTAGCTGTAATCTGAAGCCTGCTGGACGCTGGATTAGAAGGCAGCAAAAAAAGCTCTGTGCTGGCTGGAGCCCCCTCAGTGTGCAGGCTTAGAGGGACTAGGCTGGGTGTGGAGCTGCAGCGTATCCACAGGTAAAGCAGCTCCCTGGCTGCTCTGATGCCAGGGACGGCGGGAGAGGCTCCCCTGGGCTGGGGGGACAGGGGAGAGGCAGGGGCACTCCAGGGAGCAGAAAAGAGGGGTGCAAGGGAGAGGAAATGCGGAGACAGCAGCCCCTGCAATTTGGGCAAAAGGGTGAGTGGATGAGAGAGGGCAGAGGGAGCTGGGGGGACAAGGCCGAAGGCCAGGACCCAGTGATCCCCAAATCCCACTGCACCGACGGAAGAGGCTGGAAAGGCTTTTGAATGAAGTGAGTGGGAAACAGCGGAGGGGCGGTCATGGGGAGGAAAGGGGAGCTAAGCTGCTGGGTCGGGTCTGAGCAGCACCCCAAGACTGGAGCCCGAGGCAAGGAGGCTCACGGGAGCTGCTTCCACCAAGGGCAGTCAGGAAGGCGGCCGCCCTGCAGCCCAGCCCTGGCCCCTGCTCCCTCGGCTCCCTGCTACTTTTTCAAAATCAGCTGGTGCTGACTGTTAAGGCAATTTCCCAGCACCACCAAACCGCTGGCCTCGGCGCCCTGGCTGAGGGCTGGGATGGAGGACAGCTGGGTCCTTCTAGCCAGCCCCCACCCACTCTCTTTGGCTACGTGAGTCAAGGCTGGGCGACCAATGAGGTTGTGGCCTCCGGCAAACAATGACCACTATTTAGGCCGGCAGGTGTATAGGGCATGGGGGCCCAGCTGCCAGTGCTGGAGACAAGGGCCGTCCGAGATGAACCCTTTCTGCTGCCTGCCAAGCCACTGGGAGGGGTAGGTCTCAGCAGGATTCCCAGAAACCCCGCCCCTGTCCAGCCTAGGCCCCCCACCCGGTGTTAGCTAACCCAACGTTAGCCCCCAGGTTCCGTGGGGTTGGAGGGCAGGGAGTCCTATTCTTGGGGCTGCTGCTTCTGGGGTGTGGGGAAGTGCAACTCCACGGCACCCTGGGCTGACTCATTCAGCTTCTAAAGCTTCAGGAAACATTGTTTGGGGCTGGGTCACCATGGGTGGGCCAGAGAGGACCCCTCAATCCCCTCCGGAGAGCCAGGGGAGGGGGAGGTGCCCTTCCCCATGCTATCTCCGAGGCCCACTGCCATGTGGCTGAAGGCTGTGCGGTTCTGGGAAGAGGGGGAGGTGGCGGTGGAGGCTGTTTGTCTCCTAACTGGGCTTAATCTGAAACACATGTATTGGCTTGAGTTGATCCGCCTCACGTGGAGGCAAGATCACAAAAGCTTCTGTGTTTCTTGATGTGGGCAATTGTCAGAAAATAAGGCCTGACCTTGGCCCAGCAGGGAGGGTATCTACCTCTCCCTGAGCCCTCCCCCGCCTGCTAGGACGAGAGCGGGGCTTGGATACTGCCCTTTGGACAGGATGGCATCATTGTCTGTGGCTGCAGCCAGCCAGCGGTCGCCTGCTCAGCCCATGAGCAACCACTGTGGACAGGGTATTGCGTGTGTGCTGAGGGGCGTCCATGCAGACCCCCACGCTTGCCCTCTCACTGCCCTTGTAGGGTTTTCAATCATCTCTCCTCTTCCCTTATCCAGATGGCTTGAAGTGGAGGATTCAGACTTGCCGTTAATACTCTGGGTCCCTGTGTCTAGCTCGGGGCCACCTTTGGACCCATGTCCCTTCCCTGCCAGGCTCCCTCACCTCACCTCAGCCTACCCACATTGTGACAATCATCTACCACCTGATCTGGGGTTTGGGCTTAGATTCTGTAGGCACCAAGACTAAAGTCGCTCCTTCAAGTCCATTTGAATTGTGACTTTAGTTTCCTTAAATACTATGCCAGGATAATGGCCAGGGATGGTGGCTCACGCCTGTACTCCTGGCACTTTGGGATGCTGGTGGATCACCTGAGATCAGGATTCCAGGCCAGCCTGGCCAACACGGTGAAACCCCATCTCTACTAAAACATAAAAATTAACCAGGTGTGGTGGCGGGCACCTGTAATCCCAGCTACTCAGGAGACTGAGGCAGGAGAATTGCTTGAACCCGGGAGGTGGAAGTTGCACTGAGCTGAGATCGCGCCACTGCACTTTAGCCTGGGCGACAAGAGTGAAACTCTGTCTCAAAAACAAAAAAAACTATGCCGGGATGAGCCTGTCTCCTCCCTTAATTTCTTACTTGGGCCAGAGGAACTAGAACTAACAACTTCTCTTCTAGCCTTGCCTCCTGTGTACCTCACTGAATTTTTGGTCTCTAATAAACCAGTCTGCAGAGGCTCAGGGGAGGCAGGCTCCTGGCAGCTGGGTGGGGCTGGCCCCAGCCGGGTGGAGACCAGCTGTAGGCCTGGATGGTGGTGAGGCCTCTGTCTTGCGCTGCAGAAAGCTTTTCCTGTTGTCTACACGAAAGTTTTCTCCCTGCATGTCAGGGCAGCCACGTGCAAGAGCAGCTGGCTGGGAACGCAGAGGTCTGCGGCTCGAGGCGGGGTTTAGAAAGAAAACCAGGCTGCTTCCTGCTGCCCGTCCTGCCTTAAGCTGAGTAAACTCAAAGGCAATCTTCTTTCATGCCTCACGATATTGTCCAGTGGATTATCTGATTTAATTTGAAGGACGAGAGCCAACAATCACACAACGTCCTCCCAAATTTTCTGATCCACTTTGTTCTGGGAAGTCAAAAAGTGTGTGTGCTGTGTGGGTGGATGTTTGTGTATATAAATGGATAATGAAGGATGATGTGTTGGGGGCCAGGGCAGGGGAGACAACGCTGTTCAGATTCTACATTTTTTTTTCCTTTTTTTTTTTTTTTTGAGATGGAGTCTTGCTCTGTTGCCCAGCCTGGAGTGCAGTGGCGCGATCTCAGCTCACTGCAACCTCCACTTCCTGGATTCAAGTGATTCTCCTGCCTTAGCCTCCCAAGTAGCTGGGATTACAGGCATGCGCCACCACACCCGGCTAATTTTTGTATTTTTAGTAGAGATGGGGTTTCTCCATGTTGGCCAGGATGGTCTCAAACTCCTGACCTCAGGTGATCTACCCGCCTCGGCCTCTCAAAGTGCTGGGATTACAGGTTTGAGCCACTGCGCCTGGCCTTTTTTTTTTTTTTTGAGATGGAGTTTTCACTCTTGTTGCCCAGGCTGGAGTGCAGTGGTGCGATCTTGGCTCACTGCAACCTCCACCTCCCAAGTTCAAGTGATTCTCCAGCCTTAGCCCTCCAAGTAGCTGGGACTACAGGTGTGTGCCACCATGCCTGGCTATTTTATTTTATTTTATTTTATTTATTTATTTTTGAGACTAAGTCTTGCTCTGTTGCCCAGGCTGGAGTGCAGTGGCATAATCGGCTCACTGCAACCTCTGCCTCCCAGGTTCAAGTGATTCTCCTGCCTCAGCCTCCTGAGTAACTGGGATTACAGGGGCCTGCCACCACGCCTGGCTACTTTTTGTATTTTTAGTATAGATGGGGTTTCACCATGTTGGCCAGGCTGGTCTCGAACTCCTGACCTCAGGCTATCCGCCTGCCTCAGCCTCCCAAAGTGCTGGGATTACAGGCATGAGCCACTGTGCTCGGTAGTTGTTTTATTTTAATAGTAGGTTATTTTATTTCCATTTTACAAGAGAAAAAATGGTGATTTAAAGAGCTACTAAGACACAGCACTGAGACCATGTGTGATGGCATGCGCCTGCAGTCCCAGCTACTCACGAGGCTGAGGCAGGAGGATCACATGAGGTCAGGAGTTCCAGGCTGTGGAGTGCTATGGTTGTGTAGTGAATAGCCACTACACTCCAGCCTGGGCAGCACAGCAAGATCTTGTCTCCCAAAAAAAAAAAAAAAAAAAAATTTCAAATGTGAACCCAGGATCTCTGACCCTAGGCCCTGCACTCCTAACCATGGGAGGAAGAGCTCTTGAAAGGGAACTGTGGGAGAAGGGAATGAGCTGCCTTGTGAGGCCACAGAAGTCCAAAGACAGCTTGAGAATTTGGAGGGACAGCACGTGCCGGACTGGGTGCCTCTATGCTTGGTATCCGGTGATTCCATGGAGGAGACCTGGGTTCTGCCCCATTCTCCTGGGAGGGGTTGCCCAAAGTCTTATCACCGGAGTGGGTCAGCTGCCTCCAGGACAAAGCTTTAGCATACACTTGTGCTGGGCCATACTCCACGTGGAGAAGCCCTGCTGGGGCTGGGGCCCCACTGCTCTGGATCTTTAAAAGCTATTGGTTCAGGGGCCAGGTGTAATGGCTCACACCTATAACCCTAGCACTTTGGGAGGCTGAAGCAGGTGGATAGCCTGAGGTCAGGAGTTTGAGACAAGCCTGATGAACGTGGTGAAACCCCATCGCTATTAAAATACAAAAAATTAGCCGGGCATGGTGGCAGGTGCCTGTAATTCCAGCTACTTGGGAGGCTGAGGCGGGAGAATCGCTTGAACCCAGGAGGCGGAGGTTGCAGTGAGCCAAGATCGCTCCACTGTACTCCAGCCTGGGCGACAGAGCCAGACTCTGTTTCAAAAAATAAAATATAAATAAATAAATAAATAAATAAATAAATAAAAGCTTTAGGCTTAAAGGAGGGTCCCCTGACGCAGACAGTGGAACAAAAGCACAAGCTTATGGTATGACTGTGGGCCCTGAGGCAGGGGGAGGGGCGGGAGAACCTTGCTGGGAGGGATGGGCCATCAAGCTGAGGGTCCACTTCTGGGGGCCTGGAGGGGTGAGGGGTGGTCGCTGCAGGGGGTGGGGGAAAGTGACTAGCCCTGCCCAACCCCTGGGTCCTGGCTGGGGTGGCCAGGAAGGGGTAGCGGGGCAGTGCAGTGTCGGGGGAGAGCGGCTTGCTGCCTCGTTCTTTTCTTGCAGGCCCCAGGATGCAGGCCCTGGTGCTACTCCTCTGCATTGGAGCCCTCCTCGGGCACAGCAGCTGCCAGAACCCTGCCAGCCCCCCGGAGGAGGTCAGTAGGCAGGCGGGGAGGGCGTGGTCAGCATTCCCCGCCCCTCCTTGGCAGGCAGCACGGGAAACAGGACAGGGAACCCGGACCCAGGTTCCAGGCCAGGCTTGGGCCTTTATTTCTCTAGGGCTGGAGTTTCTCCAGCAGCAAAACAGAGAGAAAATGTCTTGCCTTGCCTTTCAGGGGATGGAGTAGGGACATGAATAAGATCCCAAAAGAGTAAAAATCTGAAGCACTTTTAACAAGTCCAGGGCAATTCTCCTGCCTCAGCTTCCCAAGCAGCTGGGATTACAGGCATGCACCACCAAGCCCGGCTCATTTTGTATTTTTAGTAGAGACGGGGTTTCTCCATGTTGGTCAGGCTGGTCTCGAACTCCCGACCTCAAGTGATTCTCCTGCCTCGGCCTCCCAAAGTGCCGGGATGACAGGTGTGAGCCACCGCACCTGGCCAGGATCTTTTCTCATTACCTTGTCTTCCTAGTGGGGGCTCCACTGAGCAGGTCATGTTCCCGGACATTTGTTCGGATACTGACCAGGCTGTGGCAGGGAGTGAGGGTATGGAGTGACCTCTCTCCTGCCCAGAAAGGGCGCAGCTGGGTTCCCAAGGCAGATACAGGCACATGGAGGGAAGCCTGGGCCATATGAGTGTTATGGGGTGAGTGTTGGCGGAGGCCCACCCTTGAGGGACAAGAGCAGCTGGGCATCTTGGCGAGAGCCCTGGACTTTCGTGAGGTCAGAGTATGAATTCTGCGTCTCCCTCTTCCTAGCTTTGTGACCCTAGACAACCCTTACCTCAGTCTTTGCTTCCTTGCCTATGAAATGGGATAAAAACACCCATTCTACAGGGCCATGTGGCCACTCATTTATTTCTCATCTACCAAACACCTACTCGACAGGGGCTGGCAATGGGCGGAAATAAAAACTCAGTTCTGCCGGGTGCGGTGGCTCACACCTGTAATCCCAGCAGTGTGGGAGGCGGAGCAGGATGATCCCTTGAATCCAGGAGTTTGAGACCAGCATAGGCAACATAGTGAGACCCCTGTCTCTACAAAAAAGCAAAAATTACCAGGCGTGGTGGCAAGTGCTTGTGGTACTACCTACTTGGGAAGCTGAGGTGGGAGGATCACTTGAGCCCAGGAGATTAAGACTGCAGTGAGGGGCCGGGCGCGGTGGCTCACGCCTGTAATCCCAGCACTTTGGGAGGCGGAGGTGGGTGGATCACGAGGTCAGGAGATCGAGACCATCCTGGCTAACATGGTGAAACCCCGTCTCTACTAAAAATACAAAAAATTAGCTGGGTGTGGTGGGGGGCGCCTGTAGTCCCAGCTACTCGGGAGGCTGAGGCAGGAGAATGGCGTGAACCCGGGAGGTGGAGGTTGCAGTGAGCTGAGCTCGCACCACTGCACTCCAGCCTGGGCGACAGAGTGAGACTCCGTCTCAAAAAAAAAAAAAAAAGAAAGAAAGAAAAACTGAGTTCTTTTTTTTAACTTTCTTTTTTTAGAGACAGAGTCTCACTCCATCACCCATGCTGGAGTACAGTGGTGCGATCTTGGCTCACTGCAATCTTGGCCTCCTGAGTTCAACCAATTCTCATGCCTCAGCCTCCCAAATAGCTGGGACCACAGGCACGTTCCACCACGCCCAGCTAATTTTTTGGGTATTTTTAGTAGAGATGGGGCCTCACCATGTTGCTCAGGTTGGTCTGAAACTCCTGAGCTCAAGTGATCCATCTTCCTCGGCCTGCCAAAGTGCTGGGATTATAGGCATAAGCCACTGCACCTGGCTCCCAATTTTTATATTTATATTTATTTTTATTTACTTATTTATTTTTTGAGACAGGGTCTCACTCTGTCACCCAGGCTGGAGTACAGTGGCACTATCTCAGCTCATTGCAACCTCTGCCTCCTGGGTTCAAGCGAATCTCGTGCCTCAGCCTCCTGAGTAGCTGGGATTACAGGCATGCACCACCATGCCCCGTTAATTTTTTTGTATTTTTAGTAGAGACGGGTTTCACCGTGTTGCCCAGGATGGTCTCGAACTCCTGACCTCAAGTGATTCACCCACCTCAGCCTCCCAAAGTGCTGGGATTATAGGTGTGAGCCACTCGGCTGATGGTTTTTAAAAAGTGGGTCATGGGGCTGGGCGCGGTGGCTCATGCCTGTAATCCCAGCACTTTGGTAGACCGAGGCGGGTGGATCACAAGGTCAGGAGATCGAGACCATCCTGCCTAACACGGTGAAACCCCGTCTCTACTAAAAATACAAAAAATTACCCAGGCATGGTGGTGGGCGCCTGTAGTCCCAGCTACTCGGGAGGCTGAGGCAGGAGAATGGCGTGAACCCGGGAGGCGGAGCTTGCAGTGAGCCGAGATCACGCCACCGTACTCCAGCCTGAGCGACAGAGCGAGACTCCGTCTCAAAAAAAAAAAAAAAAGTGGGTCATAGGTTTCGGCTTATAGGTCACAAGTGTTTAAACCTGGCCATGAGGCCAGGCGCAGTGGCGCATGCCTGTAATCCCAGCCATTTGGGAGGCTAAGGCAGGAAAATCGCTTGAACCGGGGAGGTGGAGGTTGCAGTGAGCTGAGATCGCGCCACTGAACTCTAGCCTGGGTGACACAGTAAGACTCTGTCTCAAATAAAAAAAAAACAGCTGATCTCTCTTCTGCGCTGTCTCTCCACAGAGAGCTCATGCGTGATCAGGGAGTAAAACTCATTCCCGTTTTAGGCCAAACACAGAAAAATTAGGAAGGACAGCCCCAAGGGGCCAGAACCACCACCCTACACAAAGCCGTGAGGAGACAGTCCCTGTGCATCTCTGCGAGTCCCTGAACTCAAACCCAAGACTTCCTGTCTCCTGCCAGGGCTCCCCAGACCCCGACAGCACAGGGGCGCTGGTGGAGGAGGAGGATCCTTTCTTCAAAGTCCCCGTGAACAAGCTGGCAGCGGCTGTCTCCAACTTCGGCTATGACCTGTACCGGGTGCGATCCAGCACGAGCCCCACGACCAACGTGCTCCTGTCTCCTCTCAGTGTGGCCACGGCCCTCTCGGCCCTCTCGCTGGGTGAGTGCTCAGATGCAGGAAGCCCCAGGCAGACCTGGAGAGGCCCCCTGTGGCCTCTGCGTAAACGTGGCTGAGTTTATTGACATTTCAGTTCAGCGAGGGGTGAAGTAGCACCAGGGGCCTGGCCTGGGGGTCCCAGCTGTGTAAGCAGGAGCTCAGGGGCTGCACACACACGATTCCCCAGCTCCCCGAAAGGGGCTGGGCACCACTGACATGGCGCTTGGCCTCAGGGTTCGCTTATTGACACAGTGACTTCAAGGCACATTCTTGCATTCCTTAACCAAGCTGGTGCTAGCCTAGGTTCCTGGGATGTAACTGCAAACAAGCAGGTGTGGGCTTGCCCTCACCGAGGACACAGCTGGGTTCACAGGGGAACTAATACCAGCTCACTACAGAATAGTCTTTTTTTTTTTTTTTTTTTCTTTCTGAGACGGAGTCTCGCTTTGTCGCCAAGGCTGGAGTGCAGTGGTGTGATCTCAGCTCACTGCAACCTCTGCCTCCCTGGTTCAAGGAATTCTCCTGCCTCAGCCTCCAGAGTAGCTGGGATTACAGGCACCTGCCATCATGCCCAGCTAATTTTTGTATTTTTAGTAGAGACGGGGTTTCACCATGTTGCCTAGGCTGGTCTCAAACTCCCGGGCTCAAGCGATCCACCCGCCTTGGCCTCCCAAAGTGCTGGGATTACAGGCGTGAGCCACCGCGCCTGGCCAGAATAATCTTAAGGGCTATGATGGGAGAAGTACAGGGACTGGTACCTCTCACTCCCTCACTCCCACCTTCCAGGCCTGATGCCTTTAACCTACTTCAGGAAAATCTCTAAGGATGAAAATTCCTTGGCCACCTAGATTGTCTTGAAGATCAGCCTACTTGGGCTCTCAGCAGACAAAAAAGATGAGTATAGTGTCTGTGTTCTGGGAGGGGGCTTGATTTGGGGCCCTGGTGTGCAGTTATCAACGTCCACATCCTTGTCTCTGGCAGGAGCGGAGCAGCGAACAGAATCCATCATTCACCGGGCTCTCTACTATGACTTGATCAGCAGCCCAGACATCCATGGTACCTATAAGGAGCTCCTTGACACGGTCACTGCCCCCCAGAAGAACCTCAAGAGTGCCTCCCGGATCGTCTTTGAGAAGAGTGAGTCGCCTTTGCAGCCCAAGTTGCCTGAGGCATGTGGGCTCCATGCTGCAGGCTGGGGGGGTCTTTTTTTTTTTTTTTTGAGACGGAGTCTCGCTCTGTTGCCCAGGCTGGAGTGCAGTGGCGTGATCTCGGCTCACTGCAACCTCCACCTCCCGGGTTCACACCATCCTCCTGCCTCAGCCTCCCGAGTAGCTGGGACTGCAGGTGCCCAGCTAATCTTTTTTGTATTTTTAGCAGAGACGGGGTTTCACCGTGTTTGCCAGGATAGTCTCGATCTCCTGACCTGGTGTTCTGCCCGCCTCGACCTCCCAAAGTGCTGGGATTACAGGTGTGAGCCACCGCGCTCGGCCCGTTTCTAAACAATAGATCATGTGTGCCCAGGCCTGGCCTGGCACTGGTGTGGAGGAAGGGCCCGTGAGCCCAAAGAGGCTCAGAAAGAGGAAGTGGGCTGCAGGAGACGGTGGGAGGGGCAGGGAGGGCAGTGGCGCGATGTGGGGAAATCTGCTGCCCCCCTGGCCAGTGCCTGGGGATGCCAGCAGAAGTCCTGGCAAGTCACAGGAAGATGCTGGCTGGGAAGTCAGGGCCTGCTGAGCGCTAAACCAGAACCCGAGCCTGGCAGGCTCTCAAAGACGGGATGCTTGTCGTCGAGTCTCATACGCTAACCTCTGCTCCGCCTCTTCTCAGAGCTGCGCATAAAATCCAGCTTTGTGGCACCTCTGGAAAAGTCATATGGGACCAGGCCCAGAGTCCTGACGGGCAACCCTCGCTTGGACCTGCAAGAGATCAACAACTGGGTGCAGGCGCAGATGAAAGGGAAGCTCGCCAGGTCCACAAAGGAAATTCCCGATGAGATCAGCATTCTCCTTCTCGGTGTGGCGCACTTCAAGGGTGAGCGCGTCTCCAATTCTTTTTCATTTATTTTACTGTATTTTAACTAATTAATTAATTCGATGGAGTCTTACTCTGTAGTCCTAACTGGAGTGCAGTGGTGCGATCTCAGCTCAATGCAACCTCCGCCTCCCAGGTTCAAGCAATTCTTGTGCCTCAGCCTCCCGAGTAGCTGGGATTACAGGGATGTACCACCACTCCCGGCTAATTTTTTGTATTTAATAGACATGGGGTTTCACCATGTTGGCCAGGCTGGTCTCGAACTCCTGAGCTCAGGTGGTCTGCCCGCCTCAGCCTCCCAAAGTGCTAGGATTACAAGCTTGAGCCACCACGCCCAGCCCTTTTTATTTTTAAATTAAGAGACAAGGTGTTGCCATGATGCCCAGGCTGGTCTCGAACTCCTGGGCTCAAGTAATCCTCCCACCTTGGCCTCCCAAAGTGCTGGGATTACAGGCATGAGCCACCGCGCCCGGCCCTTTTACATTTATTTATTTATTTTTTGAGACAGAGTCTTGCTCTGTCACCCAGGCTGGAGTGCAGTGGCGCGATCTCGGCTCACTGCAAGCTCTGCCTTCCAGGTTCACACCATTCTCCTGCCTCGACCTCCCGAGTAGCTGGGACTACAGGCGCCCGCCACTGCGCCCTACTAATTTTTTGTATTTTTAGTAGAGACGGGGTTTCACCGTGGTCTCGATCTCCTGACCTCGTGATCCACCCGCCTCAGCCTCCCAAAGTGCTGGGATTACAGGCGTGAGCCACTGCGCCCGGCCCTTTTACATTTATTTTTAAATTAAGAGACAGGGTGTCACTATGATGCCGAGGCTGGTCTCGAACTCCTGAGCTGAAGTGATCCTCCCACCTCGGCCTCCCAAAATGCTGGGATTACCATGTCCAACTTTCCACTTCTTGTTTGACCAAGGATGGATGGCAGACATCAGAAGGGGCTTGGAAAGGGAGGTGTCAAAGACCTTGCCCAGCATGGAGTCTGGGTCACAGCTGGGGGAGGATCTGGGAACTGTGCTTGCCTGAAGCTTACCTGCTTGTCATCAAATCCAAGGCAAGGCGTGAATGTCTATAGAGTGAGAGACTTGTGGAGACAGAAGAGCAGAGAGGGAGGAAGAATGAACACTGGGTCTGTTTGGGGCTTTCCCAGCTTTTGAGTCAGACAAGATTTATTTATTTATTTAAGATGGAGTCTCATTCTGTTGCCCAGGCTGGAGTGCAGTGGTGCCATCTTGGCTCACTACAGCCTCCCCACCTCCCAGGTTCAAGTGCTTCTCCTGCCTCAGCCTCCCGAGTAGTTGGGATTACAGGCGCCCGCCACCACACCCAGCTAATTTTTGTATTTTCAGTAGAGATGGGGTTTCGCCATGCTGGCCAGGCTGTTCTCGAAAACTCCTGACCTCAGATGATCCACCCGCCTCGGCCTCCCACAGTGCTGGGATTACAGGCGTGAGCCACTGCGCTGGCCAAATCAGACAAGGTTTAAATCCCAGCTCTGCCTGTACTAGCTGAGGAACTCTGCACACATTTCATAACCTTTCTGGGCCTACGTTCTCACCTTTAACGTGAGGATAATATATCTACTTCATAGACACCTTTTTATGTTGTCTCCAAGTTTTCTAACAGCTCTAGTTCTGTACCCAAGACATGGCAGGTGGCCAACGACATCCTTCTAGGCTGTGGTGATGTGTTTGGAGCTTGTTCCACGGGTCTTGTGTGGGGCCAGCCCTGTTCAGATAAGGCCTTGTGGGGTGGCCTGGGGTAGGGGGAGGGGTTGGGCAAACTCTCCCTTAAAACGCTTTGTAACCATCTGAGGCACCAGCAAGAGCGGCCCCCGAGCCTGGACAAAATCCAAACGGCTTCCTACTTCAAGCACTGATGTCTAGTGAGTGAAGGAACAGCTCTGGGTCCAGGATATTATAGGTCACATTAAACTAAAGGGGCTTGGCCATCAGCTGGCTTCCAGAGCGTCAGCCAGTTACTTCACCTCTTTGGCTTTGGCCTGTTTTCAGCTACAAGAGGACTTAATCCAGAGGACCTCAGAGGTCCTTCCCAGCTCAGACCTTCTTTGACTGTCTCCCAGAGACACTGCTGTAGGAGTGCACACCAGTTTACTTTTCTTTCTTTTGTTTTTGAGATGGAGTTTCGCTCTTTTTGCCTAGGCTGGAGTGCTGTGGTGTGATCTCAGCTCACTGCAACCTCTGGCTCCCAGGTTCAAGTGATTCTCCTGTCTCTGCCTCCCGAGTAGCTGGGATTACAGACACCCACCACTGCACCCGGCTAGTTTTTGTATTTTCAGTAGAGATGGGGTTTCGCCATGCTGGCCAGGCTGTTCTCGAAAACTCCTGACCTCAGATGATCCATCCGCCTTGGCCTCCCAAAGTGCTGAGATTACAGATGTGAGGCACCACACCCGGCCATTTTTGTATTTTTAGTAGAGACGGGGTTTTGCCATGTTGGCCACGCTGGTCTCAAACTCCTGACCTCAAGTGATCTGCCCACCTTGGCCTCCTGAAGGGCTGGGACTACAGGCGTGAGTCACCGTGCCCGGCCATTTTTGTATTTTTAGGACAGCGTTTTTTCATGTTGGCCAGGCTGGTCTCAAACTCCTGACCTCAAGTGATCCACCCACCCCGGCCTCCCAATATGCTGGGATTCCAGGTGTGAGTTACCATGCCCGGCTACCACTTTACTTTTCCTGCAGGCTATCACAGAACGTGTACAATCTAGACTCTAATCAACCAAATCAACGTCTTGCCATCGGAGTTTGCTGGTGAAGGGCACTTGGGGTCCTGGAAATAACTGTAGGCTCCAAGCCACACACACTGAGATAGGCCTATTCCCTGAGGCCTCAGAGCCCCTGACAGCTAAGCTCCCTTGAGTGGGGCAATTTTCAACAACGTGCTCTGGGGACACAGCATGGCGCCACTGTCTTTCTGGTCTCCTGGGGCTCAGACTATGTCATACACTTCTTTCCAGGGCAGTGGGTAACAAAGTTTGACTCCAGAAAGACTTCCCTCGAGGATTTCTACTTGGATGAAGAGAGGACCGTGAGGGTCCCCATGATGTCGGACCCTAAGGCTGTTTTACGCTATGGCTTGGATTCAGATCTCAGCTGCAAGGTCTGTAGGGATAGGGGCAGGGTGGGGGGTGGATGGAGGGAGAGGATAGAGAAGCAAAACAGGGTAGTGGGAATAAAATGACCTTTGAGATCCGACAGCTGTCTACATGTCGCCTGCTGTGTGACTTTGAGCAGGTTAATAACATGTCTGAGCTTTCCTCCTCTTAAGATGGGGCAGGGGATCGTTACCAACACTTACCCTCCCAGGGTTTGTTGTAAGGACGAATAAGGTAATAGGAAATGGGCCCTCAGACTGGGCACCCACATGTTTGTTCTCTTGAGACTCCTATTTCTAGAATTTAAAGCCAAACTTTGAAAAATAATGACAAACTCCAAATCGTTGGCATCTTTTTTTTTTTTTTTGAGACAGTCTCGCTCTGTCGGCCAGGCTGGAGTGCAGTGGCACGATCTCGGCTCACCACAACCTCCGCCCCGCTGGGTTAAAGCGATTCTCTTGCCTCAGCCTCCTGAGTAGCTGGGATTACAGGCGTGTGCCACCATGCCTGGCTAATTTTATACAGACGGGGTTTCTCCATGTTGGTCAGGCTGGTCTCAAACTCCCAAACTCAGGTGATCCGCCTGCCTCGGTCTCCCAAAACACAGGGATTCCAGGCATGAGCCACCACGCTTGGCCAATCGTTGGCATTCTAAGGCTTTCAGTGTACCTGACTTCTTTTAGTTCTAAGTCTGTAACTGTTAACCTTTCTTGGGCCACGGCTATCACACGGATCTCTCTGGGAATCTGACGACAGTGCCTCAAACCCGAGGGAGCACCGCCAGGTGTGCACACACGTTTCTGTCAACGATTTCGGAGACTCTTGGGATCCCTGACACCATCTGTTCCATGGACCTTAGGTTAAGAGCCTCTGTTCAAAGGAGGCTTTTGCTCTTGGTGGGTGGATGGGGTGAAGTCTCCAAGCCCTCTTACGGCCCCTTCGGTATTCCTATCCCCGGTTCTCCCTGTCTTAGTCCAGTGCTCTCTATTTAACAAATGAGCAGTAAATGTTGGCCGATGGACTTTGGGAGAAAATAAAGACCTGAAATTCAATTCTAGCTCCTTAAACCACAGGAGAACATTCTTTCAGCAGACAACTTCAGTTGGTATTAGGCCAAGGTAAGAAAGGCCAACAGCATCCTTTCTGAAGAAACCTCAGGAGATGGCTCACTGCCAGAAAGCTATAACCTGGAAGGGGAATTGTTAAATAGATGAGGGGCTGGATGAAGGACGAGACCAGGGCCCCGTCACGGGAGAGGGAAGGCAGCTCCTGGCTGTGTCTGTCCCCGGCTTTTGGGCTCTGAAGGACTAACCACATGCTTTCTCACTTGTCTCAGATTGCCCAGCTGCCCTTGACCGGAAGCATGAGTATCATCTTCTTCCTGCCCCTGAAAGTGACCCAGAATTTGACCTTGATAGAGGAGAGCCTCACCTCCGAGTTCATTCATGACATAGACCGAGAACTGAAGACCGTGCAGGCGGTCCTCACTGTCCCCAAGCTGAAGCTGAGTTATGAAGGCGAAGTCACCAAGTCCCTGCAGGAGATGAGTATGTCTGAAGACCCTTTCGCTCTTGGTGGGTGGATGGGGTGGGGCAGGGTCTTTGGGCCTTCCACTGTGCTAAGCAGAACGCAAGGGCTCCACAGGCTTGTAGGGGGGCCGTGGATGAGTCCTTAATCCTCATCGTGCCAGAAGGGAAGGCTGAACTGCCTTCTCTCATCAGACTCATTCCTCAGCCTCACGAGCAGACCTCCCTGACAGGCGCTCACAACACTGCCTCTCAAGACGAGTCTGTCTGACCTGTTTTCTCATCTTGACCTAACTTGCTAAATGCTCCTGGGCAAGTCACTCCACCCTCGGTCAGCTCAGACCTCTTCAGGCCTCAGAGAAAGTCAACAGTGCTGCGCCATCCCAGCTTGCTTGCAAAGGGATCCCTTGGTTGGGGTGTTGGGGAAGGCAGGGTTTTAACGGAAATCTCTCTCCATCTCTACAGAGCTGCAATCCTTGTTTGATTCACCAGACTTTAGCAAGATCACAGGCAAACCCATCAAGCTGACTCAGGTGGAACACCGGGCTGGCTTTGAGTGGAACGAGGATGGGGCGGGAACCACCCCCAGCCCAGGGCTGCAGCCTGCCCACCTCACCTTCCCGCTGGACTATCACCTTAACCAGCCTTTCATCTTCGTACTGAGGGACACAGACACAGGGGCCCTTCTCTTCATTGGCAAGATTCTGGACCCCAGGGGCCCCTAATATCCCAGTTTAATATTCCAATACCCTAGAAGAAAACCCGAGGGACAGCAGATTCCACAGGACACGAAGGCTGCCCCTGTAAGGTTTCAATGCATACAATAAAAGAGCTTTATCCCTAACTTCTGTTACTTCGTTCCTCCTCCTATTTTGAGCTATGCGAAATATCATATGAAGAGAAACAGCTCTTGAGGAATTTGGTGGTCCTCTACTTCTAGCCTGGTTTTATCTAAACACTGCAGGAAGTCACCGTTCATAAGAACTCTTAGTTACCTGTGTTGGATAAGGCACGGACAGCTTCTCTGCTCTGGGGGTATTTCTGTACTAGGATCAGTGATCCTCCCGGGAGGCCATTTCCTGCCCCCATAATCAGGGAAGCCTGCTCGTAAACAACACATGGACAGATAGGAGAGGCCATTTGTAACTTAAGGAAATGGACCCGATACGTAAAGATTCTGAACATATTCTTTGTAAGGAGGTATGCCTATTTTATAAAGTACAGCCGGGTGTGGTGGCTCATGGCTATAATCCCAGCACTTTGGGAGGCCGAGGCGGGCGGATCACCTGAGATCAGGAGTTTGAGACCAGCCTGACCAACACGGAGAAACCCCGTCTGTACTAAAAATACAAAATTAGCAGGGTGTGGTGGTACATGCCTGTAATCCCAGCTACTGGGGAGGCTGAGGCAGGAGAATCACTTGAACCCGGGAGGCGGAGGTTGCAGTGAGCCGAGATCACGCCATTGCACTCCAATCTAGGCAATAAGAGCAAAACTCCGTCTCAAACAACAAAAAACCAAAGTATAACTGGGCTTTTTGAAGAACATGAAACATGCCCAGTGTCTGAAGTAGAATAACTACCGAACTGTCCGTAGGACTAAACTTTTTCTTGAAAAAGCTCTACCAAAAAAAGTCACCGGCCACTCCCTTGTCACAGTTATTAGACAGGAGGAGAAATGATAATTCTACTGCCCTTCATTCTACAAATGTTTGAGTGCTAACTGTATTCCAGATTCTCAAAAAGCTATTGCCAGGTATCTCTGGGGCTACTGATTTCCTGATCATAATGCAATGGCAACCAACGGGCACTTGGGCATGGTGAGGGTGGGCAAGCTTTCAAAAGCAGCGTGGATCTGGCATTCTTTTCCACGAATGCACCTCAACTACTTGGCACCAGTGGTAACACAGCAACCAGGGTTCCGACCTAGAGAATCCCGTAACCTTCTGACTGGAACGGGGTCTGGGCTGTCGCTACACATCCTGGTGGAAGGCAGCTATCATCCCTACCTTCTGCCTTCTGTCTCTTAAATCTGAACCACAAACAGCAACGTCCATACCCTCAGCATTGTTAGAATCCCCTGCAGCCTCCAGTTCTCATACTGTCTGTATTCTACTCGCCAGTTTGGAGAGGTCTGGTGGAGAAAAGGAGTCTCTTTTCAGGCTTGACAACAAATAGAACTCAGGGCCGGGCGCGGTGGCTCACGCCTGTCATCCCAGCACTGTGGGAGGCCGAAGCGGGCGGATCACCTGAGGTCGGGAGCTCAAGACCAGCCTGGCCAACATGGAGAAATCCCATCTTTACTAAAAATACAAAATTAGCCGGGCGTACTGGCGAATGCCTGTAATGCCAGCTTCTCGGGAGGCTGAGGCAGGAGAATCGCTTGAACCTGGGAGGCAGAGGTTGCGGTGAACCAAGACTGTGCCACTGTACTCCAGCCTTGGTGACAGAGGGAGACTCTGTCTTAAGAAAAAAAGAAAAAAAAAAAAAAAGGGCCGGGCTCACGCCTGTAATCCCAGCACTTTGGGAGGCCAAATCACCTAAGGCCGGGAGTTTGATACCAACCTGACCAACATAGTGAAATCCCGTCTCTACTAAAAATACAAAATTAGCCAGGCGTGGTGGCGGGCGCCTGTAATCCCAGCTACTCGGGAGGCTGAAGCAGGAGAATCACTTGAACCCGGAAGGCGGAGGTTGCCGTAAGCCAAGATCGCGCCATTGCGCTCCAGCCTGGGCAACAAGAGTGAAACTCCATCTCAAAAACAAAACAAAACAAAACAAAACAAAACAAAACCAACAACTCAGAAGGAGGCATATGTGTTATAAAGTCTTTACTACAACTTTGATTTTATTAGTGGTTGGTTACTGACTCTGCCAAGAGTACAGAATGAAGGGCAGAGAGTAAGGACTGGAAAACTGGCAGGAAACACACTGACAGCCGTCATCCCTGGAGGAAACTGCTCAATAAAACGGCTCCATATTTACTTCTCTGGTCACGGTTCATACTCCACGATTTTAACAAAGGAGTCGAGGAAGCTAGATACTGTAAGTGGAACGGTGTGTCTCTGGAGGTAAGCAGGCTTGCTGATTTCTTGTTTTATAATTCTTTTTTAATTACAATGTAACTACTAAGAGCTTCAGTTCCCACTGGAGTGGTGCACACATCTCATTACTACTAAAACCACAGGAATGTTCCAGGGAAACAGACTATCATCACTGAGCGAGGTGGAATCCAGCCAAAACCCCAGGCTAACATCCAGATGCCTGCAGATCAGCTAAAATCCTTTTAAAGGACTTGGAATCTCCAGATACTAGTTTTAAGTCTTTTCTGGGAACTGGGAGTTTGTACTGGAGGCCACTTAACTATTTCAAAAAATATTCACCAAAATAGGTGTCTCTCTGACTGCAACGGTTTGAGTCCTCCTCAGCCCTCATATCCTAGGCTTCGGACTGTTGGGAAAGTCTTATCTTCCTGACGAAAGCTCAGCAGCAACAGAACCTGTTATTTTTTTGTTGAGACAGGGTCTTACTCTGTCACCCAGGCTGGAGTGCAGTAGTGCGATCTTGGCTCACTGCAGCCTCAGCCTACCAGGCTCAGGTGACCCTATCTCAGCTTCTCGAGTAGGTGGGACTACAGGCATGTGCCACCATGCTCGGTGAACTAAAAAAACTTTTTTGTAGTGATACGGTCTCACTATATTGCCCAGGCTGGTTTTGAACTCCTGGGCTCAAGTGATCCTCCCACCTCAGCGTCTCAAAGTACTGGGATTACAGGTGTGAGCCTCTACACTGGGCCTGCAGAACCTACACAGAATCCGCACCTGGTCTGCAGAACCCACACCCGACCCACAGAACCCACACCCGACCCACAGAACCCACATCTGGCAGCAGAACCTCTTAATATTTTTTTTTTTTCTTTGAGATGGAGTCTGGCTCTGTCACCCAGGCTGGAGTGCAGTGGCGCGATCTCGGCTCACTGCAAGCTCTTCCTCCCGGGTTCACCCCATTCTCCTGCCTCAACCTCCCGAGTAGCTGTGAATACAGGCGTCCGCCACCACGCCCGACTAATTTTTTTGTATTTTTAGTAGAGACGGGGTTTCACCGTGTTAGCCAGGATGGTCTGGATCTCCTGACCTCGTGATCTGCCTGCCTCGGCCTCCCAAAGTGCTGGGATTACAGGCTTGAGCCACCGCACCCGGCCTCTTATTTTTTTTTTTGAGATGGAGTCTCACACTGTCACCTGGGCTGGAGTGCAGTGGAGCGATCTCGGCTCACTGCAACCTCCGCCTCCTGGGTTCAAGAGATTCTCCTGCCTCAGCCTCCCAAGTAGCTGGGATTACAGGTGCCCACCACCACGCCTGGCTAGTTTTTTGTATTTTTAGTAAAGATGGGGTTTCACCATGTTGGCCAGGCTGGTCTTGAACTCCTGACATCAGGTGATCCGCCCACCTTAGCCTCCCAAAGTGCTGGGATTACAGGCGTGAGCCACCATACCTGGCCAGCAAAACCTCTTTAACTTGTGTTCCATGGGCTCCTTTTCTGTGGGTCAAAATCCTCCTGGAACCCTACAATGCAGGCCCTACAGGGGTGGGTGGTAAGTCCAACAAACAGGATTTCATCTTCTGGAGCTCCTGGATTTCATCGTCCCATGGGCCACAGTGCAGCGACAGAACCTCCTCAGCTTTCTGTATTGTGCTCAGGGCTTCGGGTACTGCAAACCTGAGCCAAGGGAGGTAAGAGGAGTTAGTTCACTGATTTGTGAGGCAAATGTTAATTGAGGGCCTACTCACACACCGTGAAGAATGTAAGATCATTTCTGTCATCAAGGATCCTACAATCTAGAACAGTAAGTAAGACACTGTCACAAACACGCTGCAAAACAAAAGTGTGAGAAAACAGTTATAAAAGATAGTATAGACGCCAGGATCCTGAGAACACGAGGCAAATCTCAAAGCTTTTTTTTTTTTTTTTGAGACAAGAGTTTCACTCTTGTCGCCCAGGTATTTGTGCGACCTCGGCTCACTGCAACCTCCGCCTCCCGGGTTCAAGTGATTCTCCTGCCTCAACCTCCTGGGCAGCTGGATTACAGGCGTGAGCTACCACACCCGGCCTCAAAGTTTTCATCTGGTATTTACCACAGGTTTACATAGCAGTTTTCATTTTAGGGTGACCATCTTAGGGCTGACCTCTGACCTAACTCTGCAGCCCTTTTCTCTCTCTCTGACCAAACAGAATGTCTCTGTGTCTTGGGTACCAGGCCCACTCAGCACAGCCTTAGGTTGAAGCTTTAAGCACTTTCTCATAGCCACATACACCAAGGGCAGCTTTACCAGGGTTGGAGGTTCCACCCGGAAATCCTGAAATTGGGCCCTAAATGGTCTCAGTAGCAAAAGTGGATTTGGCATCAGCTCATCAGCGTGCTGTTCTTTCCTTTTAACCTTCAAAGTAGAACAGGGGATTTAAAACAAAAAACAAACAACAGCAGCAAAAAAGCAGGGTTTCTCGACCCTGACACTATTGACACTGTTGCTGGCTCCTTCTTTGCTGGGGTTGGTGGGGGGGGCACTGTCTTGTACCCGGGAGGATGCTTAGCAGCACCTCTGGCCTCTTTCGAATAGATGCCAGCAGCACCCCCCTTCCAAGTCATGACAATCCAAAATGTCTCCAGAGATCGCTTGAGCCCAGGAGTTGCAGGAAGCAGTGAGCTGTGACCGAGCCACTGTACTCCAGCCTGGGCAAGACAGCAAGACCCCTTCTCAAAAAAAAAAAAAAAAAAGTCTCCAGGCAATGCCACATGTTGTCTGGGGGTAAAATCAGCCCTGGTTCAAGCAAACGCTTTAAAAGGAAGAGGATGCAGAGTAGGGAGAAGGCAGAGAGCCTGGAGCTGAGAGTGCTGGGAATGAGACAGCCAAAGGGGCTGTGACGAACCAGAGAACAACCAGAAGGAGAGCTATACTGGAGGGTGGGTGGGGCTGCCTGGCCAAGTTCTCTCTGGGAAACTCACTTGAGATCTAAAAGCTTTCCCCATATCTCCCAGGAGGAAATTCTTTTTTTTTTTTTTTTTGAGATGGAGTCTCGCTCTGTCGCCCAGGCTACAGTGCAGTGGCGCGATCTTGGCTCACTGCAAGCTCCGCCTCCCAGGAGGAAATTCTAAAGCGTTATGTTTGTTAGCAAAACAGAAGGCAAAGATCTCTCCTAAAGAGGAAATAAAGAAGTTTCAACATGCTTTTAAAAACACCATAGAAAAAAAGTAATACCCAGAAGAGCCTAGGAAAGGAACAGTGTGTGCCCTGTGAAGTGGGAAAGGGACTCACCCGTTGAAAAAGATCTGGGCCAATTTGAAGAGCTCATGGCCCATTTCAACACTGGACGGCCCGTGGCGAACCTCCACCACGTAGAGACTCCTCTGTAGATGGGTGGCTGACTTTTGCCAGTCTCCTGTGAGAAGAGAAAAATCTTGTTCCAGAAAAGAACCACTGTCAACTGTGGATGCATATTTTCAGGGGGAGGAAATGGAACGAGAGGGGGAGCACCCTCAGTTTACAGAGCGGGGGGTAACCAGGCAGACAAGGCCGGGGCCACGGCGAAGTGCCCACAGCAGACTGTTCCCGACGCAGAACGTGAAGGCTCATGCTGTACCTAAGGCAGCACAGGCCCGGGCCAGGCCATCCGCGATCTCTCCCACCACGGCGTGCTCTGCCCACAGGAAGCTCTCGGCGTCACGCTGGCACCCCGACAGCCGCTGAACAGCTCGCTCTGTCAATGCAGAGGAAAGACGTCTCACTATAGACAGAAGCCCAGTCCTAGGAATGAGAATCCAGGTCTCAAATCCTCTGAATCAGCTGGGCTGAATGTGGAAATTCCCCCTGGCCTCCCTGGGTTGTCACCAACGCACAATGTCTGTTCCAATAAAGCTGCTGTTTTCTTCTGTTTTCTCTGTCAGTGGAGAAAGGCGCTAGGGGAGGCCTCCCCACATTTACACTGTATTTTCAACATTAACTTCCCAACTCGACCAACTCTACCTTTCACGTACGGCCATGATTTCTCTTGACCCTGAAATCTAAGCTAAAGGTCAACTTTCATAAAGCAGGGTAAATAAAAATCCCATGATGTCAAGCTCTAAGGCAGGGTTTTCAAGGGCAATGGGGAGCTCCGCAAGTCTCAGACAAAAGCAAGACACTCCTATCAGCTGGGCTCACGCCCCACTGCTCTCTAGCAGAGACTAGCTCTGAGGAGGGAAGAACCGCCCTTCTAGGAAGTTACATCACTAGGCCCTGGAATTAAAATAAATGACACTCAACTTCTGGAACTGCACACAGCTCACGGATGTCAGCGATGACCCGTTAGTTGGCAGGGGTACTTCAACTTAGCAATCAGATGCAGAAGAAAACAACAGCTGAAATCACCTGGCCCCTTTTCAAGGGCCCCACAGTAACAAAGCTGGTCAGGGTTTGGACTCACTGGCCTATATAGCCATCTTGTGGCTGGCATGGGGATAATTACATCCAATTCTCCCATCAGTACTGAGTATCCCTGAGTCCAAAAC
The DNA here is from genome assembly GCF_000001405.40 of Homo sapiens. Classification (NCBI taxonomy): domain Eukaryota; kingdom Metazoa; phylum Chordata; class Mammalia; order Primates; family Hominidae; genus Homo; species Homo sapiens. Next base: position 1,784,267 of record NC_000017.11, read on the forward strand.
GGTATCAGAACAAATAAAAGGGAAGGGGCTGGAGGACCAAAGCAGGGAGCCAGTCTCACCTAGTTCACCATCTCTGAGAAGCTTCTGGGCCACTCTGACCTGCTGCTGTAGGTCCTGTAACCGAGAGACCAGGTGGTCCCTGCTGACGGCGGATTCTGCACAAGATCTGCTGCCACAGCGCAGCACGTCATCTCCCTGTGGAAGTCAGTTTTCTCTTTATTCCAATGCCAGGGTCAGTTATCAACACCGCCTGTGCTTACATTACAGGACTGCTCCATAGTTTCTTACCTCATGGGGGAAAGAGACTCCTGTAACAATACATCGTGACGAAAGTCTGAGCGAATTTTGTTTGATGGCGGCAATGGCGGCAATTCTAATGAAGTGTATCAGCAGTAGCTGATCCCACCTGAGATTTCATTTTTGGAACAGAACTGGTACAGTGCACAATTTCTTTCCACTTCTATAGCCCCTCTTGTCGCTTTTTGGGGCCAGGACTTTAGATGACAAACATTTCTTTTTTTTGAGATGGAGTCTCGCTCGGTCTCCAGGCTGGAGTGCAGTGGTGCGATCTCGGCTCACTCCAAGCTCCGCCTCCCGGGTTCACGCCATTCTCCTGCCTCAGTCTCCCGAGTAGCTGGGACTACAGGTGCCCACCACCAAGCCCGGCTAAATTTTTGTGTGTGTTATTTATTTTTTTTTTTTAGTAGAGACGGGGTTTCACCGTGTAAGCCAGGATGGTCTCGATTTTCTGACCTCATGATCCGCTCGCCTCAGCCTCCCAAAGTGCTGGGATTACAGGCGTGAGCCACCGTGCCCGGCCTTGATGACAAACATTTCTAGTAGTTATGAAAAAGTCCTCAGAAAACCAATAGAAGGCCAGGTGCGGTGGCTCACGCCTGTAATCCCAGCACTTTGGGAGGGCGAGGCGGGTGGATCCATGAGGTCAGGAGATCGAGACCATCCTGGCTAACACGGTGAAACCCCGTCTCTACTAAAAATACAAAAAATTAGCCGGGCATGGTGGTGGCGGGCGCCTGTAGTCTCACCTACTCGGGAGGCTGAGGCAGGAGAATGGCGTGAACCCGGGAGGTGGAGCTTGCAGTGAGCCGAGATTGCACCACTGCACTCCAGCCTGGGTGACATGAGAGAGACTCTGTCTCACAAAAGAAAAAGAAAAAAAAAAAAAAAAGAAAACCAATAGAAAGGCTGGGCGTGGTGGCTCACGCCTGTAATCCCAGCGCTTTGGGTGGTCGAGGCAGGTAGGTCGCTTGAGGCCAGGAGATCGAGACCAGCCTGGCCAACATGGAGAACATGGCCAACTCGTCTCTACTAAAAATACAAAGATTAGCTGGGCATGGTGGTGCATGCCTGTAATCCCAGCTACTGGGGAGGCTGAGGCAGGAGAATTGCTTGAGTCTGGGAGGTTGAGGCTGTGGTAAGCAGAGATCGTGCCACTGCACTCACTTCAGCCTGGATGACAGGGCAAGACCCCATCTCAAAAAAAAAAAAGAAAAAAAAAAAAACTAATAGAAAAAGGTGCTAGGTGCGATCGTCCTACATTTGACCTTGGGTCTCCAAGTTTAGCTTTCTAACACAACCGGCTCTGCCTTTCACTCATGACTCCCCTAAGAAGAATACGGCACTTGTGGCAGAGGGGAAACCTCCGAGGTGGACATCTGCTGTGTTTCAAAGGCCGATATCTATTTTCTCATTTGGCAACAGCAACCCAACCCAGTTTCTCATAAGGATCCCTCTCACCCTCAGTCCCATGGCCCTTGCCCTACAGCTGAGGGTGTGGCATGTGGCTCACATATGGCTCCTTCCTCTGGCCCAAATGGCTGGAGGAAAACTATGTCTAATTTTCCTCCAGCCACAGTTCTCAGGTCAATGAAACACAGTAACATCTCTGCCCAGGCTGCTGTTTGAGTGGCATGTGCTCTTATCCTCCTTGGCAGGAAATCCGCAGGCTGGGCTGCTGGCAGCCATCCTGCATCGTAAGAGGGAAGTCTATCTGAGGATGGGCTAACACAGAGAAAATGAAGCTGAGAGGGGTGGACAGAAAGCCCCTGGATCAAGCTGTATCTTAAGCAGCCTTATCCTGGAATTTTTCTCATAACATTTTTTTTGGTAGAGACAGGGTCTTGCTATGTTGCCCAGGCTGGTCTTGAACCCCTGGCCTCCAAGTGATCTGTCCACCTCAGCCTCCCAAAGTGCTGGGATAATAGGCATGTGTCACTGTGCCCAGCCTATCCTGGGACTTTTCAATGACTGACTTCAGCAAATAAATTCCCAGTCTCCCCCAGATCCCAAACCAGTTCAGATGGGATCTTCTGTCCTTTATAAAGGAAACATTACTAAATTGAACCTTTCCCTGTGGTTTCTCTGGAGGGGAACTAGTGTATGGGGATGACTGGCTAAAATGGAGGTGATATTACTGGTCTCAGCACTTACAAGTCCCTGATGGCTTCCTCCTAAACACTGATCACCCTTGGGGTGGAAAACTGACCTCCAGGAAAAGTGGAGGAGACAGAAGAGAGAATTACCTGCATGGGCGCTCCGCAACTGTTGCAACAGAATGCTTCCCACCTGGGCCCTGCAGCCATCCTGTGTGCCTCAGTTTGACAAGCTGGACAGGCGCAGTCAAAGAAATACTGAGACCTCAGCTTCTGCTGCCTTTCGGCAACCCCCATCCGGCTCTTGTGAGGCCCTGGAGGGAGATCACCGTCAGCCAATATTGAAAGCAAGAGAGAGTCAAACACTACGTAAAAACCTTCAGCTTAGCAGAGGGTCTGGACAATTACCTATCATGTGACAGCTAACCTTTACCCAAATATTTGTGGAACTGGATACTAAAATAAGCTTCCAAGTTGCTGAGACAGGAAGAAAGAGAAGCCAAGAAGTTGTTCCTAGCCCATTTTCAGAATAGGAAGTTTATAGTGATTAAACAGCGAGACATAGTTTAGCCGCAATAGGGCCCTAGCACGAAGGCCATTCCTTCCATCCTCCCTTCCTTGTTTTTGGCCTAAGTGTTCACTGCCTCTTCCAGGAAGCAGACAGTAGACAGGTGAAGTCACATGCCTGGTGGCTTGCTGACTTGCGTCCCCGTCCTTTTCTGTTGGAGAAGGGCAGGATGGCAGTGCGGAGGGATGGCTCACCATAGCAGTGGAGAATCTCTTGCCCCTTTCTAATCCGCTGTGACGCCCGGATGGTGGCGACAGTGCTAATGAAGGACACGCTGGTGTTGGGGCTACAGGAGTGGTTCAGGAGGCTGATAACAGGGAAGATGCCTGTGGCAAGGCGCACCTGCCTGCTGTCGGTAACGATGCTCCCTTTAGGTCCTGAAAGGGCAAGAGGAAAGAAGGAAAAAGGTGTCAGCACATGAGCCCTGGCCTTGCCCTCTGTTCCTCAGAAGATGAGCTGGGCAGCTAGGCCTGCAGCCCGTGTGAGTCATGGCTCCACAGCCAGATCCAATATAAATCAGATGGGACATGACTCACGGCAAGCTCCAGTCCCCAGGAAGCAAAGTGGATGAACGCACACAAAGTCCACTGGAGTCCTGGAACCTAACGACTGTGTCTCTACACCACGAAATAGCCAAAGATAAGAACTTATAAAGAAGTAATAAAAAAGGGATGATAAGTAGGGAGCGTTCTAGATAGTTTCATAATGTTCTCACATAGAAACCAGAGCCCCTGTTGAGGTGACTTCCCAAAGACTTTTAGAGCCCAAGGGCTTTTGTTTATCTGGTCTTTGGTTGGTTAACAGAACAAGCGACCTAGTTACTACCCCAAACTTTATATATTTAAGCAGGCCAGGCACCAGGGCTCCTGCCTGAAATCCCGAGGCTCACGCAGAAGAATTGCTTGAGCCCAGGAGTTCAAGGCCAGCCTGGACAACACAGCTAGATTTGGTCTCTAAAAAAAAAAAATTAAAATATTAGCCAGCTGTGGTGGTGCACACCTGTAGTCCCAGCTACTCAGGAGGCTGAGGTGGGAGGATCAGTTGAGCCCTAGAGAGCGAGGCTGCAGTGAGCCAGGATTGCACCACTGCACTCCAGCCTGGGTGACAGAGCAGGCCCTGTCTGAAGAAAAATAAATAAAAATTTAAAAAAAGTTTTACTCTAATTGTAACATTTATTATTTTTTTCTTTTTTGGTCTTTTCAGGCCCATAGTTTACTTTAAAATTTTGTTCATTTTGGCCGGGCGCGGTGGCTCACGCCTGTAATCCCAGTACTTTGGGAGGCCGAGGCGGGCAGATCACAAGGTCAGGAGATCGAGACCATCCTGACTAACACGGTGAAATCCCGTCTCTACTAAAAACACAAAAAATTAGCTGGGTGTGGTGGTACGTGCCTGTAGTCCCAGCTACTCAGGAGGCTGAGGCAGGAGAATCGCTTGAACCCCTGAGGACGTTGCAGTGAGCCAAGATCGTGCTGCTGCACTCCAGCCTAGACAACAAGAGTGAGACCCCGCCTCCAAAAAAAAAAAAATTTGTTCATTTCAGAAAAGAAAGCATGGTGGATAATTAGCACTTTAAAAGTCCACCTGTAACACTTCACTTAGCCAGAGGCTCTACCTGTGCTGGCTTTTCTCAAAGCCATCTGTCCTAGGAGTATGTACAGTAAAGATAACCTTGGGCACACAGAAACGCTTAAATTATCTTCAGTAGTCTCAATTTAAGCATGAGGCAAATTGTGTTTCTAACAAAACAGGTTGGAAGATAAAAAATACCAGTATTTAAAAGGAAACATTCAGTTTTCTGGAAAACTGGAAAAAAACCATCAAATAACTGTGATATCACCGAATATATGCCAGGAATCTCAAAAAAACCACTCACCAGGCTGGGCATGGTGGCTCATGCCTGTAATCCCAGCACTTTGGGAGGCCGAGGCGGGTGGATCACCTGAGGTCAGAAGTTCGAGAGTAGCCTGGCCAAAATGGCAAAACCCTGTCTCTACTAAAAACACAAAAATTAGCTGGGCATGGTGGCATGCGCCTGTAGTCCCAGCTACTCGGGAGGCGAGGTACGAGAATTGCTTGAATCCAGGAGGAGGAGGTTGCAGTGAGCCCAGATCACACTGCTGCACTCCAGCCTGGGTGACAGAGCAAAACTGTCTCGCAAAACAAAAAAAACAAATTCACCAAAGAAATAGTCTAGGTACAAATGTAATGGATAAAGAAAATATTATGAACCATTATGTGAAAATGTTTTATAGGCCAGGTGCAGAGGCTCACGCCTGTAATCCCAGCACTTTGGGAGGCCAAGGCGGGCAGATCACTTGAGGTCAGGAGTTCAACACCAGCTTGGCCAACATGGTGAACCCTCGTCTCTACCAAAAATATAAAAACTTAGCTGAGCGTGGTGGCGTGCACCAGTAATCCCTGCTACTCGGGAGGCTGAAGCAGGAGAATCGCTTGAAACTGGGAGGTGGAGGTTGCAGTGAGCCGAGATCGCACCACTGCACTCCAGCCTGGGTGAAAGAGCGAGACTCTGTCTCAAAAAAAAAAAAAAAGTTTTATAAAGGAAAACACTGAATATAGGAATAATGTTGTCAATTTTGTTGTCAATTTTACTATCTGTTGCTAAGGAGAACAAGAATAGAACAAGTAAATACATTTTGCAGGGAATCCAAATGACTCAATTCTAGTTAATAATTCTACAAATTGTATTAAAATCTTTCATCAGAGCTTCTCCTAAGTGCTTCGCTGATTTTTGTTTCTTCTTCTCCCCCTTGTCCGGTGCCCACCTTCTGGTATATGTGCTAATGAGCAGTGAAAATGCTAAAAGGCAGGTGGCAGGAAGGAGCCGTCCAGGGCATGAACAATTTGTCGTCTGAATAATCAGCCTCTGCATAATTAAAAGTGGACTTGCATTGCCAACTACTGATAACTGGCAATCTATATTAGAACCATTGCTAAAATTTTCCAGAAAAGAATGATCACACTACAGTGAGTAATGTCAGCTTTGTGAATTATTTATAGATTACCCTCTGACAGAAGTAGGCCCAGGAACCGTGTGGGTATTTATGTCAGAGTTGAATAGCTCTCTAATTATTTCTAAAAAATTAAGTATTGATTTTTAAAAATTACTCAGTATTGTGCATTAATCATCTATTAGTAGAGATAATAGAAAGTGAGAATATGTATGTAGTTCCTCAACCAAATTTAATCTGTGACATTTTGTATTAAAATAAAGAGGGAGTGATTCTATACCAAAACAGTACCTTGCTAATATCCCTAGTGCATTTCTTTTTATTTATTTATTTTTCAGATGTAGTCTCACTCTGTCGCCTAGGCTGGAATGCAGTGGCATGATCTCATCTCACTGCAACCTCCGCCTCCTGGGTTCAAGCGATTCTCCTGCCTCAGCCTCCTGAGTAGCTGGGATTACAGGCGCCCATCACCACACTCAGCTCATTTTTGTATTTTTAGTAGAAGACAGGTTTCAGCATGTTAGTCAGGCTAGTCTCGAACTTCTGACCTCGTGATCCACCCACCTTGGCCTCCCAAAGTGCTGGCTAAGCCATGCCCATCCCTGGTGCATTTAAACTGGGATTCAAGTAAAGAAAAAAGATTCATGCCGGGCGCGGTGGCTCACGCCTGTAATCCCAGCACTTTGGGAGGCCCAGGCGGGTGGATCACGAGGTCAGGAGATCGAGACCTTCCTGGCTAACACGGCGAAACCCCGTCTCTACTAAAAATACAAAAAAATTAGCCGGGCATGGTGGTGGGCGCCTGTAGTCCCAGCTACTCGGGAGGCTGAGGCAGGAGAACGGAGTGAACCCGGGAGGTGGAGCTTGCAGTGAGCCGAGATCGCGCCACTGCACTCCAGCCTGGGCTGGCCCGTCTCAAAAAAAAAAAAAAAAAAAAAAGATAGATTCCTTCAATGCTGAAGAGTGAAAGCAATGGGCAGTGAATTGATGGGAAGTGACAGGACACAGAACCCCAATAAAATCTTGTTATGACAGGAATCCGGATAGATCATAAATATGCCATTCCCACTGAGACAGAACCACACGTGTCACGGTCTAGAAAATCATCAGTGGCCAGTTCTGTCCCTTGAGATAAGCCCTAGTGAGAGGTTTCTGGGGAACTTTGATTAAACAGGATTTATGCAAAGATAATAACATACATTTTTATAGGTTTTTGTCAAAGTCTATCCTAGTTAACACTTTAATCCTTTGCCTGTACTACTAATGAAACAGCTGCTAATGAAATTCAATGAGAACACTAAATTGAGAGGGATTGGAACCCCAAAGAAATAATAAAAAGGGATATAACAAGATTAGAAATATGAGCAGACTAAAAGAAAATGAGATGAAATTTAACAATGAAAGTGAACCTTGCTGGTGGGCGCGTCAGTGGAACTTTCCTGGAGGGCAATTTTGCAAGCTGTATCAAGTGCCTTAAAAATGTTCATAGAAAAGTACTCTTATCATTTGAATTATCTTTATTATTAAAAAAACTAACTGAGGCTGGGCGCAGTGGCTCACGCCTGTAATCCCAGCACTTTGGGAGGCAGAGGTGGGAGGATCGCTTGAGCCCAGGAGTTTGAGGTTACAGTGAGCTACGATCGCCCCACTGCACTCCAGCCTAAGTGACAGAGTGAGACCCTGTCTCAAAAACAAACAAAAAACCACTAATTGAAATTACAAAAGGAATACGTGGTAGTCAGAAAAAAATTTAAAAATTGAACATTACAGAGAAAATGACAGTTGCTTGTAATGCCATCAGGCAGATATAACATGTTATCTTTAAATCCTAACCTAAAATACATTTTTTTTTTTTTTGAGACGGGGTCTCGCTCTGTCGCCCAGGCTGGAGTGAGTGCAGGGGCGCGATCGCGGCTCAGTGCAAGCTCCGCCTCCTGGGTTCACACCATTCTCCTGCCTCAGCCTCCAGAGTAGCTGGGACTACAGGCGCCCGCAACCACGCCCGGCTAATTTTTTGTATTTTTAGTAGAGACGGGGTTTCACGTTAGCCAGGATGGTCTCGATCTCCTGACCTCGTGATCCTCCCACCTCGGCCTCCTCAAGTGCTGAGATTACAGGCTTGAGCCACCACGCCTGGCCTAAAATGCATTTTAGAATTAAAAATACAGGTCGGGCACGGTGGCTCACCCCTGTAATCCCAGCACTTTGGGAGGCCAAGGTGGGCGGATCACGAGGTCAGGAGATGGAGACCACCTTGCTAACACGGTGAAACCCTGTCTCTACTAAACATACAAAAGTTAGCCCGGTGTGGTGCACACCTGAGCCCAGCTACTTGGGTGCCTGAGGAGGGAGGATCAGTTGAACCCTGGAGGTCGAGGCTTCAGTGAGCTGAGATCACGCCGCTGCACTCCAGCCTGGGCAACAGACAGAGGCCCTGTCTCAAAAAACAAAAACAAAACCAGTAAAACAACTCTGCTGCCGTGACAGGCCAACAAAGGTATCTGGTTTTAATTACTAGAGAGGTTAGAGAGTGACCGTTTTTACTTATCACTATCTACTTCGATACAGTGCTTGCTCACGTGTGCTTTCAACAGCTGTACTGAGATAGAATCCATCTACCGTAAAATTCACTTAAGTGTACGATTCAGTGCTTTTTTGGGGGGAAATTTATAAGATTGGGCAAACAGTACCACAACCCGGCTTTAGATTTTCATCATTATGCATGTTTTTATTTTTATCTTGCTATTTTTTAGACAGGGTCTCACTCTGTTGCAATGGGGTGATCTCAGCTCACGGCGGCCTCGACCTCCTGGGCCCGAGCCGCTGTCCCACCTCAGACTCCCGGGTAGCTGAGACCACAAGCGCGCACCACCACACTCAGCTAATTTTTGTATTTTTGTAGACACAGAGTTTAGCCATGTTGCCCCGGGTGGTCTCTAACTCGTGGGCTCAAGTAATCCTCCTGCCTCAGCCTTCCAAAGTGCTGGGATTATAGGTGTGAGCCACTGTGCCTGGCCGCTATGCATATTTTTAAAAGTTGATTTTAAGAGCTGTATAGTTGCTAGAGATATTCCCTCATTTTGTCCATTTACATCTAATTTTTGTTTATGAGGTTTTTTTGGGGGGATTGTTAAAACAATGACAATTTCACTTGTTCACAATTCTGTACCCCGGCAGTTTTGGCTCAGCTGAGTATTTTTTTTTTTTCTGCTGGTTTTGCCTGGGGCTGACTCACATGACTGCCTTTCTGTGGCACCTGGTCTTTTATCCTCAAGGAAGCCAGCCCAGGCTTGTTCACAGGGCTACACTATCACTCCAAGACGGTGACAGTGGAGGCAATTAAGGCTTAGACTCAAAAGTCACATCAGGTCACTTCTGTCTATTGGTCAAAGCAAGTTACAGAGCTAGCCCAGATTCAAGGAGAGGGGAAAAAAATCTCCACTTCTTGACAAGAGAAGCAGCAATGTCAAGCTGCAAAGAGGCAACTTATAGGGATGGGAGAAACTGTGGTCATGTTTGCAAACAGCCTTCCCCAGAGGCTCTGAGGCTTATCCAGTCTCATCATGTCCATGATGACACTGAGATACACAGAGGTTCAGGAGATTAGGTCTTCTGCCTCTCAGTGCAGTGTTTTTTTTTTGAGAGGAAGTTTCACTCGTTGCCCAGGCTGGGGTGCAGTGGTGTGATCTCGGCTCACTGCAACCTCCACCTCCCAGATTCAAGCGATTCTCCTGCCTTGGCCTCCCTAGTAGCTGGGACTACAGGCATCCACCACCACGCTTGGCTAATTTTTGTGTATATATATATGTATATATATATATGTGTGTATATATATATGTATGTATATATATATGTGTGTATATATATGTGTATATATATGTGTATATATATATATATATATATATATTTTTTTTTTTTTTTTTTTTTTGAGATGGAGTTTTGCTCTGTCACCCAGGCTGGAGTACAGTGGTGTGATCTTGGCTCACTGCAACCTCCGCCTCCCAGGTTCACGCCAGTCTCCTGCCTCAGCCTCCCAAGTAGCTGGGACTACAGGCGCCCACCACCACACCAGGCTAATTTTTTTTTTTTTTTTGTATTTTTAGTAGAGACGGGGTTTCACCGTGTTAGCCAGGATGGACACGATCTCCTGACCTTGTGATCCACCCACCTCAGCCTCCCATAGTGCTGGGATTACAGGCCTGAGCCAACACGCCCGGCCATCCTTTATCTTCCTAACCAATTATGGTGTTCTTGGTATTTGGTACCTAAGTAGTTAAATCTAGCTATCTTTTAATTACCTAAATTTGACATTCTATAGTATTTTAAAAAGCCTCTCCCACCCTAAGACTACATAAATGTTCACTTACCTTTAACTAGATAATTGATGGTTTAATTCTGAAATATTTAAGTTGTTAATGATTTGAAAAAGACTCTAATCCTTTTTGGGGGGCTGTCATCAGTTTCCAGTTGTTTTTCATTTTGTAGCTTTAATGCTCGTATGAAATCTGACAGTACCAAGACCTTTCAGTTCTCTTAAAAAAAAAAAAAGGCTATTCTCACCCATTTATTCAAGATGAATTTAGAATGTTGTCAAGTTCCCAGAAAAACTCAACTGTGATTCTGTTTGAAATGGTATGAAACTGATTAGGTTAATGCAGGAAACTCAAAGTTTTCAGTCTTTCCATTAAGAACATGGCATGTCTCTGTGGTTATCGAAGCCGTCTTTCATATCCCTCCGAATTAAAATACCTTTGCCTTTCTGGGAGAAACTCTTCTTGGTTATGTATTATTATTCCTTCAATAAACTGCTAGATATGACACTGCAGTGGTTTATCCAGGGTTTCTACATCTACATTCACAAGTGAGACTGGTCTCTAGCTTTTATCACCGGCTTTCTAAAATGACTGGGAAAGAGTTCTAGGTTTCCCCACAGGCTGGAGCAGTTTACACAGTATAGAAACAGGCTGTTCTCTGTTTGTTGTTGTTCCCAGTGGGTGGGGTCTTGCTATGTTGCCCAGGCTGGTCTCGAACTCCAGGGCTCAAGTGTTCCTCCTGCCTCAGCCTTCTGTCTGTCTGTCTGGTCTGTCTATCTGAGAGAGACTTGCTCTGTCGCCCTGGCTATCTATCTATCTATCTAATCATCTATCTATCTATCTAAGAGACTTGCTCTGTCACCCTGGCTGTAGTACAGTGGCACGATCTCAGCTCTATCTATCTATCTATCTATCTATCTATCTATCTATCTAATCATCTATCTATCTATCTAAGAGACTTGCTGTGTCACCCTGGCTGGAGTACAGTGGCACGATCTCAGCTCACTGCAACCTCTACCTTCCAAGTTCAAGCAATTCTCATGCCTTAGCCTCCCGTGTAGCTGGGATTACAGGCACCTGCCATCACGCACAGCTAATTTTTGTATTTTTAATAGAGACGGGTTTCACCATGTTGGCCAGGCTGGTCTCGAACTCCTGACCTCAGGTGATCCACCTGCCTTGGCCTCCCAAAGTGCTGGGATTACACGCATGAGCCACTGTGCCTGGCCCGTGAGTTTTTTTTTTTTTTTTTTAAGTATTTTCCTCTAGAATTATGGGAAAGGTATACAATCATTTTAAAATTTAATAGTATAATGGTACCACTGTGTGAATAAGTGTTTTTAATGTTAAAAAATCAGAAAAGTTCAAAGAAGAAAGTAGCAATCACCTGTATTTCCACTTTCAGAATTAATCACTGCTCAGATTTTGGTATTTTTGCTTCTACTGTTTCTTCTATGTATATATTTTTAAAACATTACATAAACAATAAATTATGCATAAAACATTAGAACCTCATAGATAAAGCCGATGTCTCCAAACCACTTTCCATGACCCCAAGTAGCCAGTATTACGATATGTATCTATTCTTCCAGTTTTCATTAGCCACAGAATAAGCATGTATTTTTCTTTTTTCTTTTTGAGACAGGGTCTCTCTCTGTTGCCCAGGCTCTAGTGCAGTGGCGCAACTCATGTCTCACTGAAGCCTCGAACTCTTCGGCTCAAGCAATCCTCCTGCCTCAGCTTCCCAAGTAGCTGGGACCACAGGCACATGCCACCATGCCTGGCTGTTTTTTTTTTTTTTTTTTGTAGAGATGGGTCTTGCTCTGTTGCCCAGGATGGTCTCAAATTCCTGGGCTCAAGCAATCCGCCCACCTCAGCCTCCCAAAATGCTGAGGTTAAAGGTGTGAGCCACTGCGGCTGGCTTCAGGTATTCTTTTTTTTTTGAGATGGAGTCTCCCTCTGTCACCAGGCTGGAGTGCAGTGGCGTGATCTCGGCTCACTGTAACCCCCACCTCCCAGGTTCAAGCAATTCTCCTGCCTCAGCCTCCCAGGTAGCTAGGACTACAGGCGCCCGCTGCCATGCCCAGCTAATTTTTGTATTTTTAGTAGAGATGGGGTTTCACCACGTTGGCCAGGATGGTCTTGATCTCTTGACCTCGAGATCCGCCCGCCTCGGCCTCCCAAAGTGCTGGGATAATAGGTATGAGCCACCGCGCCCAGCCCTATTAAGTATTTTAAAGGCAAGACATGGAATCAAGAGTTGGTAACTTTCTGCTATTTAATTGGGAAGCCCCATATATTTTTATGTTCAGAAAAACAGAACAAAGTAAAGTATATTAAAAAATACAAGTGAATATACCCAAAGGAGAACCTAATTCTGGAAAAATACTCAGCAGCTATATTTTAGATGGTAGCAAAGGCACAAAGAAGCAAAGGAGGGCAGAGGAAAACACAGGCTAACCTGACATGTGATTTAGTAGTATCATGGGACCAGGCCAGTCCTATTTTTAGATGTTCCACGAGCTTCAGGATGGGGAAGAGAATCTTGGCCAAAACATGTCTACTGAGATACCTATATACCATATAACTTGCCTGCTGAATTAAAATTAAACATAAACATGCACACCAAAATAGGCTGACAAATTCTAGATGACCTAATGTGAGATCAAATGAGCTAAGCATGTAGAGTTTAGTGAAGCCACATTTAATATTCATCTGTCTATAAAAACTCGGTTTAGCTAACACCTGGTTTCCTCCCTCTCAAGAGAGTTAATTGAAAAAATTAAGAAAAGTATAATGAACGGATTGAGTCAAAAAACATTTTCTGCTAAAATGAAGATCATAAAATAGAAAGACTACAAATGCCACTTTTCTAATAATAGTTGTATCTGTTGTCAGCACAGTCACACTGGAGATGTCAAGCTGGATCATGATTCTCGGCACATCCAACCTTCCCATCTATCTTAAGTAGTGTTATCTATAGGCTCCAGTTCAGGAAAGCAGGCTGAGCCAGCTCGTCTGTGTTTAGAGGTGGCCCCTTGAGGTTTGGCCACCTGATCAAAGGACAGGCACTATGCAGGCTGGCAGCTTCTGCTGCAGTGTGGGGTGGAAGGCTGCGCTGGGCTGGAAATTTAGAAGAATGGGAAATATCTCTCAATTGGAAAGAGAAGACAGAGAGTAGCTGATTGAGTTAAGGGTCTGATATCTGGCCGGGCACGGTGGCTCACGCCTGTAATCCCAGCACTTTGGGAGGCCAAGGTGGGTGGCTCACCTGAGGTCAGGAGTTCGAGACCAGCCTGGCCAACATGGTAAAACCCCATCTCTACTAAAAATACAAAAATTAGCTGGGCGTGGGGGTGCACGCCTGTAATCCCAGTTACTCGGGAGGCTGGGGCAGGAGAATCGCTTGAACCTGGCAGACAGAGGTTGCAGTGAGCCGAGATTGTGCCACCGCACTCCAGCCTGGGTGACAGGGCAACACTCCATCTCAGAAAAAAAAAGAAAAAAAGGACTTTGATACCTTACCCAACTACTGGGCCTCTTCTTTCTGCAGTCTGGTTTGACTATTATTTCTGCCCTCCCTAAAGAGAAACTATATAGCTTTCTCTGGAATCTTGTGCATGTATTTTTTTTTTTTTTCTCTTGAGACAGGGTTTCACCCAGGCTGGAGTGCATCGGTGCGATCATGGCTCACTGCAACCTCTGCCTCCTGGGCTGAAGTGATTCTCCTGCCTCAGCCTCCCAAGTGGCTGGGATTAGAGGCGTACCTGGCTAATTTTTGTATTTTGTCATGCTTTCCAGGCTAGTCTTGAACTCTTGAGCTCAAGTAAGTGATTTGACCCACCCCGGCCTCCCAAAGTGCTGGGATTACAGGCGTACTGTGTCAGGCCTTTTGTGTATGTACCTTATAAGAAACTTGCTATTACTATTTATTTGAGACAGTTTTCCTTCATAACCAAAAAAATTCGGGTTGAGTGCAGTGGTTCACACCTGTAATCCCAGCACTTGGGGAGGCTGAGGCGGGAGGATTGCTTGAGCCCAGGAGTTCAAGACCAGCCTGGGCCACATAGCAAGTCCTCATCTCTATTAAAAAAATTTTAAAAGGCCAGGTGCAGTGGCTCATGCCTGTAATCTCAGCATTTTGGGAGGCCAAAGCAGGTGGATCACCTGAAGCCAGGAGTTCAAGTCCCACCTGGCCAACATGGCAAAACCCCGTCTCTACTAACAACACAAAAAAATTAGCCAGGCATGGTGGCGCATGCTTGTAATCTCAGCTACTTGGGAGGCTGAGCATGAGAATCATTTGAACCTGGGAGGTGGAGGCTACAGTGAGCTGAGATTGCGCCACTGCACTCCAGCCTGGGAAAGAGCAAGACTCTGTCTCAAAAAAAAAATAAATAAATAAAGTAAAATAAAAAATAAATTTTTTTTCAGCAATATGGACTTTTTAAAGAATTTCAAAAGAATTTTTACAAACAGCCAGGCACGGTGGCTCATGCCTATAATCCCAGCACTTTGGGAGGCTGAGGCGGGCGGATCACGAGGTCAGGAGATCGAGACCATGGTGAAACCCCGTCTCTGCTAAAAATACAAAAAATTAGCCGGGCGTGGTGGCGGGCGCCTGTAGTCCCAGCTACTGGGGAGGCTGAGGCAGGAGAATGGCGTGAACCTGGGAGGCAGAGCTTGCAGTGAGCTGAGATCACGCCACTGCACCCCAGCCTGGGGGTGACAGAGTGAGACTCCGTCTCAAAAAAAAAAAAAGAATTTTTACAAACATAGCTTTACACAACTCTGTAAAGTTAGCTGGGATAAAACTACCCATTTTACAGATGAGAAACTGAGGCAGAACGGAATCAAATAATTTTTTTTTTTTTTGAGATGGAGTCTCACTCTGTCGCCAGGCTGGAGTGCAGTGGCACGATCTCGGCTCATTTGCAACCTCCACCTCCCGGGTTCAGGTGATTCTCCTGTCTTAGCCTCCCGAGTAGCTGGGACTACAGGCATGTACCACCATGCCCAGCTAATTTTTTTATTTTTATTTTTAGTAGAGACGGGGTTTCACCATGTTGGCCAGGATGGTCTTGATCTCTGGACCTTGTGATCTGCTCACCTCGGCCTCCCAAAGTGCTGGGATTATAGGAGTGGGCCACCACGCCTGGCAGGATCAAATAATTTAAGGTCATATAGCTTCTTAATGGCATTGTGACAATAAACAAGACAGCTTAGTGATCCCATTAGCTCAATGATTTGTTTGAATCCTATTTTCCTTTGGAATTGTTTCTTCTCAAACACCTGCTCCATCGAGAACAATATTGAAAAGCAGGAACATCAGGTTCCCTCTTACCTGTGTGTTGTATGGTGGTCATCGCCTGAGCGTTACACTGAAGCTGTAACATGTGTCTCAGCATCGCCACTCCCCAAATAGTCACGTCAGGACACAATTCAGGTGTCACTGCTGCTTTAAGCTGAGAGGAGTTCACAATCCTCTCAGTTGGGATGGCCTGTAAACTGGCTGCTTCTAGCTGTCTGCACAGTGCAGAAACACAGAGAGCACAGAGGAATTTGTGCTCTGGGCTATGGTTTTCAGTGTGGGGCAAAAGGTTGAAGACAGCATTATAATTATTTTCATACTTCCCATTAATATCGCATCCAGGAATTGGGGTCTCAACGATGTTGCCATTTTTCTCACTCTCCCCTAGGCCATAATTAAGTGTCTTGACCTGATTGTTGCTTTCAGGTAAACAGATGTCCTTGTTACTAATCTTATCACAAAGCTTCGTTATGATTTTGCGAACATCCTCAAATCCCACCAAAAGAGTCAACCTCAGGGCAATGTGGCAAAAGACACCCAGTGTGAGAAGCAGCCCTCCCAGAGGACATTCTGTCCTGTGGTAGAGCTCCCAGGCCTGCTGCAAACACTCCTGGCTGCAATACTTGGCATAACTGCATCCGTCACACGGAACTGTGGCCAAAGTGTGCTTCAAACATCGGTGACAATAGAGGTCCCCATTGGTGACTCTGGTGTCCCATTTGCTGTCTAGGCCGTGATGCGGTGGTGGCAGTTCTCCTGGGTTGAGAACACTCACAAAAGCATCCTCCTGCACCAGGAGCTCTCCTGGGAGAATATCTTTTGTGGCAACGAGACAGCGACCTTTTAAAGGATCTACGCATAAGCCGATGGATGATGAGGCATTGGAAAGTTGTTCATTCTCCTCCCTCAGCGCTGCATCCTCAAGGGTTTTGGCCAGAGCTGCTGGGAAGCTTTCTGTGAGACTGTCCTTTTCTTGCATCTTCATTTTCAGACGATGGAGGTTTCTCTGCAGAGTCTGAGGGAGGACATCTGCTAGGGCTGGTGTGGCTGTGAAGTTCCTTTCAAGATCACTGATGGTCTGGCTTGCCTCCTGCAGTCTCCCCAGGGCCACCAGACATTCTGCTTTACGTAACATAATCTTGGGTTGCAACCTTTCTGGATACCCATGTGTCTGTGCTCTGTTAATGTCTTTAAGACACGTCTGAAAACAGAAAGAAAATCCCACAATGACCCTTGGTCCCTATTCTTCAATGTTTACTGAAAATGTTTCCAAAAATCTACAGGAAAGTTAAGGATTATTAAAAAATGGAACAATTACAACCACATGCTTATTAAAATCATATAGTTCTGTGTGATCCTTTGAGTGATTAGCAATACTTGTTGAGGATATTGTTATGCTTAATGTTTTTGGATTAAATTTTTTCTTTTTTTTTGAGACGGAGTCTCGCTCTGTCGCCCAGGCTGGATTGCAGTGGTGCGACCTTGGCTCACTGCAAGCTCCACCTCCTGGGTTCACGCCATTCTCCTGCCTCAGCCTCCTGAGTAGCTGGGACTACAGGTGCCCGCCACCACACCCAGCTATTTTTTTTTGTATTTTTAGTAGAGACGGGGTTTTGCCATGTTAGCCAGGATGGTTTCGATCTCCTGACCTCATGATACGCCCGCCTCAGCCTCCCAAAGTGCTGGGATTACAGGCATGAGCCACTGCGCCCAGCCCCTGGATTAAATATTTCTATTTTTTAAGGAAAAAGAAGTCTTATGAATAGAAGAATTATAGCATGGTGACTAACAGGCAGGCTTTGAAAAAAAAAAAAAAAAAAAAAGAGGCAGGCTTTGAGTCCAAGCAGACCTGCATTCAAATACACTCTGCTGGCCGGGTGCGGTGGCTCATGCCTGTAACCCCAGCACTTTAGGAGGCCGAGGCGAGCAGATCACGAGGTCAGGTGATCGAGACCATCCTGGCTAACATGGTGAAACCCCATCTCTACTAAAAACACAAAAAATTAGCTGGGCGTGGTGGTGGGCGCCTGTAGTCCCAGCTACTCAGCAGGCTGAGGCAGGAGAAACGCTTGAACCTGGGAGGCTGAGGTTGCAGCGAGCCGAGATCATGCCACTGAACTCCAGCCTGGGTGACAGAGCGACACTCTGTCTCAAAAACAAACAAACAAACAAAAAACCAAATACACTCTGCCTCTTACTAGCCACATGACCTTGTGCAATCGACTTAATTTCTGTGTCTTAATTTTATCTAAAAAACAGGGATAATAATATCTCCCAGTGTTGTTTTAAGGATAAAAGGAAATAATATATCTAACATGCCAAAAGGAGCACCTGGAACACAGTATGTGCTCAATAAATGATAATCATTATTATAAGAAGGAAAACATTTGGGCATGGTGGCTCACGCCTGTAATCCCAGCATTATGGGAGACCGAGGTGGGCGGATCACTTGAGTCCAGGAGTTTGAGACCAACCCGGACAACACAGATGAGACCCTGGGCTCTATAAAAAAATTAAACAATTAGCCAGGCCTGGTGGCACATACCTGTAGTCCTAGCTACTCATGAGACTAAAGCAGGAAGACTGCTTGAGCCCAGGAGTTTGAGATCACAGTTAGCTATGATCGAGTCACTGCACTCCAGCCTGGGTAACAGAGACCCTGTCTCAAAAATAAAAAAAAATAAAGAAAAAGGAAAACAGAAACAATCAATAAAGAAAAGTTATAAAGGGTTCAATGTATTGCAAGTTCTTTTTCCTAATCACTGGCCTCAGCAGTCCAGGACTTTCTTGTTTAGGGTCAAGGGTTAGATTCCTGCTTTTCTCTTTTAGTCTGAAGGGCAGTAAGTGTGGACTTCTTACTATTCCAATAGTTCTCAACCCTAGGGTATAATTTGAATTTTTGTAGAATGTTGAAACAGATGTATCAAAATGGCATTTTAGAGCTTGTCCTTAGACCTCTCTAATACAAATGCCAGATGCCTCAGAGGTATCCTCCTAAAACATTAATCCGATTTTGGTCACTTCCTGTTTTAAAAACTCAACTGACACGGCTGGGCGCAGTGGCTCACGCCTGTAATCCCAGCACTTTGGGAGGCTGAGGCGGGAGGATCACAAGGTCAGGAGTTTGAGACCAGCCTGACCAACATGGTGAAACGCCATCTCTACTTAAAATTAGCCGGGCGTGGTGGTGCACGCCTGTAGTCCCAGCTACTCAGAGGCTGAGGCAGGAGAATCGTTGAACCCGGGAGGCGGAGGTTGCAGTGAGCAGAGATCACGCCACTGCACTGACGCCTGGGCGACAGAGCGAGACACTGTCTCAAAAAAACAAAACAAAACAAAACAAAAACTCCACTGACAAAGTCCTCAACTTTTTCTCTGTTGCAACAATTAGGGGATGAGAAGAATGTCATTCACAGAAAGCTGACCTCACAGGCAGACACGGGCAGTTCAAGGTAGGTTTTCCTTTTGCACTCACGACACTTAAGAAGGCTGAGCTATTACTACAGGGATAATCTTAAACACGCTCTACTTATTTAAAGCAGCAAACAGTATACTTTGCAAACACTTGGAACCTGAAGTATTAGCAGCAACATGTCACTTGGCTGATCCTGACACTGAACACTGCTGACCTCTTGGACAGTCCACATCCCCATGGAATGTCCCATAGCTCGCTCTTTCCTTTCTCTTTTGAGACAGAGTCCTGTCTTACCCAAGCTGGAGTGCAGTGGCACGATCTCAGCTCACTGACTCACTGCAACATCTGCCTCCCAGGTTCAAGAGATTCTCCTGCCTCAGCCTCCTGAGTAGCTGGGATTACAGGCGCCCACCACCCGCCCAGCTGATTTTTGTATTTTTAGTAGAGACGGGGTTTCACCATGTTGGCCAGGCTGGTTTCGAACTCCTGACCTCAAGTGATCCGTCTGCCTTGGCCTCCCAAAGTGCTGGGATTACAGGCGTGAACCACCATGCCTGGCCCCATAGCTCTTTCTTGTCAATCAACACTATCCCATATGGTCACCTGTGATCAGTGAAATGACTCAGGAGAAAGGGCGAGTTCAGTTAGTTTTTTTTTTTTTTGAGACAGAGTCTGTTGCCAGGCTGGAGTGCAGTGGTGCGATCTGGGCTCACTGCAACCTCTGCCTCCTGGGTTCAAGCAATACTCCTGCCTCAGCCACTGAAGTAGCTGGGACTACAGGTGCCTGCCACCATGCCCAGCTCATTTTTTGTATTTTTAGTAGAGATGGGGTTTCACCATTTTGGCCAGGATGGTCTTGAACTCCAGACCTCATGATCCGCCTGCCTCAGCCTCCCAAAGTGTTGGGATTACAGGCATGAGCCACTGTGCCTGGCCTAGTACATTTTTTTGAGATAGAGTCTCACTCTGTCACCCAGGCTGGAGTGCAGTGGTGCGATCTCGGCTCACTGTAACCTCTACCTCCCGAGTTCGAGTGATTCTCCTGCCTCAGCCTCCTGAGTAGCTGGGACTACAGATGCATGCTACTACACCCGGCTAATTTTTATCCCTGTATTTTTAGTAGAGACAGGGTTCCACTGTGTCGGCCACGCTGGTCTTGAACTCTTGACCTCAGGTGATCCGCCCGCCTTGACCTCCCAAAGTGCTGAGATTACAGGCAATGAGCGCCCAGTCCGACTTTAGGTAGATATTAATGTGCTTCCAATTCAACCAATAGCAGCATGACATGATTTTAGTGTTCTATGGAAGAAGCAGAGATGAAGGTCTAGTCCTCCAGTAAGAAGCCCTCCGGATCCTGTCCTCTCATACCAGGTATCCTGATACTCACCTCATACTGACCCAGGTGGAAGAGGGCTGCCGAGCGGTTAGCATGACACAGTGACATGTCCTCAGTGTTAGGCCTTGAATGTGACACTCCCTGCAAAACAATGAACTGGTTAAAAGTATAAATGGACACCAGCATCTCTGAAGAACATTTTTCAGATATTCCGGGCTCTAGTACTGAAGACTGTGTGAAACTGGGAAAGTTACTGAACCTCTTTGTGCTTCAGCTTATCTTTTAACTACCTGAGAGCAAAGCTGTGAAGAGCAAGTGAGGACATCAGTATTAAAAGCACTTTGTCAGATACAGCTTCAACCACAAACAATACTGAAGGTGGATAAAAAACTGAGGGACATACCTGCAAGCATAATATCCTACAACCTGAATATAACAAAGGGTGGGTGGCACAAATAGAAATTCACAAAAGAAGAAACACAAATAGTTATAGAAAACAAATGATTAATTCACATATGGATAGCCAAATAGATGAAAATGAACGCAAAAAAGGGATACTAGGCTGGGTGCAGTGGCTCACGTCTGTAATTCCAGCACTTTGGGAGGCTGAGGCATGTGGATCACTTGAGGCCAGGAGTTCGAGACCAGCCTGACCAATATGGCAAAACCCCGTCTCTACTAAAAATACAAAAAAATAGCAGGGCATGGTAATGTGCGCCTGTAATCCCAGCTACTTGGGAGGCTGAGGCATGAGAATGGCTTGAACCTGGGAGGTGGAGGTTAGGTTGCAGTGAGCTGAGATAGTGCCTGAGTGACAGAGTTGGACTGTCACAAACAAACAAAAAAGAATACTTTTTTCTACCATCAAATTGGCAAGGATTAATAATAACCATAAATATGGTACTCAAGTAAATGTAGGAAAGATGGTGATTACTCAGTAAAACTACTGGGATGAGACCGGGCATGGTGGCTCATGCCTGTAATCCCAGCACTTTGGGAGGTCAAGGCAGGTGGATCACTTGAGGTGAGGAGTTTGAGACCTGCCTGGCTAACATGGCAAAACCCCATCTCTACTAAAAATACAAAAATTAGCCAGGCATGGTGGCGCACGCCTGTAATCCCAGTTACTCGGGTGGGTGAGGCAGGAGAATTGCTTGGACTCAGGAAGCAGAGGTTGCAGGGAGCTGAGATCATACCACTGCACTCCAGTCTGGGCAGCAGAGTGAGACTCTGTCTCAAAAAAATAAATTAATAATAAAATAATAATATATATATATATGTATAAGTAGGTAGACAATGAGCAAAATAAAGTGATGAATCTTTCATTGGATAAATTCCAAATACATCAAATTCTTTTTTTTTTTTTTGAGACGGAGTCTCGCTCTGTCGCCCAGGCTGGAGTGCAGTGGCTCGATCTCGGCTCACTGCAACCTCCAACTCCCGGGTTCGCGCCATTCTCCTGCCTCAGTGCCCCCGAGTAGCTGGGACTACAGGCGCCCGCCACCACGCCTGGCCAATTTTTTGTATTTTTTAGTAGAGATGGGGTTTCACCGTGTTAGCCAGGATGGTCTCGATCTCGTGACCTCGTGATCCGCTCGCCTCGGCCTCCCAACAAATACATGAAATTCTTTAATGTAAAAACAAAACTATAGAAGTGCTGGAAGAACTGTAGAAAGCATGTAAAGTATTGCTGGACGAATCCCTAACTCTGACACAAAACCCAGAAGTTATCAAAGGTTAATAAACTCGACCGCCTGAAAATAAAAACTATCTTCACACCAAAAACCAATAAAAGCAGAAGGCGAACACTGAACTGGAAAAAATATCTGCAATTTATACTATAGGCAAAGAGCTAATTTCTTTACTTTGTCAAGATTTCCTACAGATCACTAAGATGACAACCAGTAAATCAACAGGAAAATAGGCAATGATATGGACAATTCTCACAGGAAATAAAAATGGCTACTAAATATGTGAAAAAAAATGCTCAGCCTCATACAATCAATAAAATGCAGATTACAACTGTACAGAAATGCCATTTTTTTACCTATCAGGCAAAGCAAAATAAAATTGATGGCACACAGAGTTGGTCAAGAAGTGGGATGATGGGTATCCTCATTATGCTGTTAGTGAGGGTGTACACTGGTTTCATAATTATGGAGGGCAATTTAGCAATATATGTCAAAATTCTATATGTATGTATATCTTATATACATATAAAATATCCATTGACCAGGCAATTCCTCTTCTAGGAATTAATCCTACAGATACAATCACTTATCCTACAGTTATATATGAAAAATGACATACATACAAGGGTTTTTTTCTTTTTTTTAGACAGAGTCTCTCGTTGTCGTCCAGGCTGGAGTGCAGTGGGGTGATCTCAGCTCACTGCAACCTCCGCCTCCCGGGTTCAAGCGATTCTCCAGCCTCAGCCTCCCAAGTAGCTAGGGTTACAGGCACACGCCACCATGCCCAGCTTATTCTGTATTTTTAGTAGAGACAGGGTTTCACCACGTTGGCAAGGCTGGTCTTGAACTCCTGACCTCAGGTGATCCACCCGTCTCGGTCTCCCAAAGTGCTGGGATTACAGGTGTGAGCCACTGTGCCCGGCCCTGTGCAAAGTTTCTCATCATAGACTTGTTTGAAACAGCAAAAGACAGGAAACAAGCATCGATCCACAGGACACTGGTTACATAAATTGATACATCCATTTAATGGAACGCCATGTAGCCATCATAAAGAATGAGGATGCTTTTTTTTTTTTTGAGACAGAGTTTCGCTCTTTCGCCCAGGCTGGAGTGAAGTGGCGTGTTCTTGGCTCACTAAAACTTCCGCGTACCGCCCCCCCCGGCCCCCACACCGGCAACCCCGCACCAGGGTTCAAGCGATTCTCCTGTCTCAGCCTCCTGAGTAGCTGGGAGTATAGGCGCAGGCCCCACCACGCCCAGCTAATTTTTCTATTTTCAGTAGAGACAGGGTTTCGCCCTTTTGGCCAGGCTGGTCTTCAACTTCCAACCTCAGGTGATCCACCTGCCTCAGCCTCCCAAAGTGCTAGGATTACAGGTGCGAGCCACCGCGCCCGGCCTGAGGACGCTCTTTATGTACTGAAATGGAATGACCTTTAAATTATTACTGTTAAGTGGAAAAGGCATGGTGCTGAACAATATGCGCAGAATGTTACTGATGTAAAAACACGGTGTGTGTGCAGGAGTGGAAGGCTGTATTTACACACGCCTGGAGTATGCTCTGGAAATATACTCAACAGTGCTAGTTTATGGGAACAGAAAATCATGTGGTCAGGGGACAGGAGAGGCAGATGACGCTGGACACTCTTGCACTTTTAAAATCTACATGAACAGATTCCCTCCTCACAAATAAATCGATATAATAATAAAACCGTAATCATCACAACCAGTACTGCTTGGGATATGGAGAAATTAATATCCCCATAGTCTGCCAGAGGGGATGTTAACTAGTTCTTTCCTGGAGAACAATTCAGCATCAAATACCAAAGACCTTAAAAAATACATTCCTTCTGCCCCAGCAATTACCCTTCTAGGAATTTATCCTAAGCAAGCAATCAGATATATACACATATTTACATAGAAAGATGCTCATTGCAGTATTATGATCCCGAACAATTTGCCAACATTAGGAGATGTGAAATCAAGTACGGTTTTTTCTCTGTCATGGAACACTAAGCCAGCCGTAAAGAACCATGTTCCAGTGGAAAATTTAATAACATGAGAAAATGGGCACAATCAATTGTCGAAGGAAAAAAGCAGGTCACAAAAGAGAAAGTGCAGCATTATCCCAATTTTGTAAAAGAAAAACGTATTTTCGGAGGAAAAAGTCTGGCTGGATGGACGTAAGCAAAAATGTTAACAGTGCCTATCACTGGTTATGAGGTTTTTTTTTACTCTTTATGCTCCTCTGTACTTTCCGAAGTAAACATATATTACTTTTACAATCAGACAAAAACAACAAATATTTTTAAAAAGAAAGAAAATAGCAGCTTTCTAGAAAATTGCAGAGTACCATAATCACCAACATACTGGCTTCATGAAATAGGAAGGCTCATCTCCCTCCACATTCAGAGCAAACCTTAATTTTTTCTCTGGCTTCAGTTTTTATTTTCCCTGTTTTCCTTGAAGAACTTCCCATGTGATCACATTTATGATGCACATACATAAAGTTGAAGAGATTAGCTCTGAAAAAAGAACTATTAAGCCATTTATCACTGGATCATTACACCTAATGGACTTTAATCCCTCAGCAACCACTAAAGCTTACATTATTTAGCTAAATACTTTATTACAACACTACAAAGCAGGGATTTTATCAGCTGTAGAAGCTGCTGTTGTAGGTGTGATCGTTTTTGGAAAATTAATCCCAAACTTCAAGCACGTTCAAGCATAAACCTGTTAAAGATTCAGAGTAGGATGTACACCCTTCAAATGAAAAACAAATTTTGTTTTTAACAGAGACAGGGCCTCGCTGTGTTGCCTAGGCCTGTCTTGAACTCCTGGGCTCAGGCAATCCTCCCGCCTCGGTCTCCCAAAGTGTTGGAATTACACGAGTGAGCCACTGTGCCCAGCCTACCCTTCAAATTTAAACTTATTCTTTTAATATCCAAGGTCACAGAACTGGTGCAAGAGATTGTCATACTCCTGCTTTAAGCCCATATAAGTATCTTAAAAGCTACGGAAGGAAGTTGCTCAGGGGATCTTGTTCCAGTTCTTACTATGAAAGCAGGACAATAAGAGTCATTTATACATTATTATTATTGTTATTATTATTATTATTTTTTTTTTTGAGACAGAGTCTTGCTCTGTCGCCCAGGCTGGAGTGCAGTGGTGCGATCTCGGCTCACTGCAACCTCTGCCTCCCGGGTTCAAGCAATTCTCCTGCCTCAGCCTCCTGAGTAGCTGAGATTACAGGCGCCCGCCACCACGCCCAGCTAATTTTTTTGTATTTTTAGTAGAGACGGGGTTTCACCATGTTGGTCAGGCTGGTCTCAAACCCCTGACCTTGTGATCCACCCGCCTCGGCCTCCCAAAGTGCTGGGATTATAGGCGTGAGCCACCGCGCCCGGCCTATTATTATTGTTTTGAGACAGTCTCGCTCTGTCGCCCAGGCTGGAGTGCAGTGGCGCGATCTCGGCTCACTGCAAGCTCCGCCTCCCGGGTTCACGCCATTCTCCTGCCTCAGCCTCCTGAGTAGGTGGGACTACAGGCGCCCGCCACCGTGCCCGGCTAATTTTTTGTATTTTTAGTAGAGATGGGGTTTCACCATGTTAGCCAGGACGGTCTCAATCTCCTGATCCACCCACCTCGGCCTCCCAAAATGCTGGGATTACAGGTGTGAGCCACTGTGTCCGGCCCATTTATACGTTATTTTACAGATGGGGTCTTGCTATGTTGCCCAGGCTGGTCTTGAACTCCTGGGCTTAAACAATCCTCCTGCCTCAGCCTCCCAAAGGGCTGGGATTACAAGTGTGAGCCACTGTGCCCAGCCAAGAATAATAGATTACTAATTCTATCAAGCTAACAGTCTCATCAGACATTCAGACAAAAATGGCATGTAGTTCAACAAGGGCTGACAGACATGGGCAAGGCAGGCGAGGGGCCCATAAGCTTACTGCTACAGGGTATCGGAAGGAATATGGAAATAGAAGTTTCTTGAAGAAATTCAGAACACATAAATTACTTTTTTTTTTTTGAGTCAGGGTCTCACTCTGTCACCCAGGGTAGTGCAGAGACCAGCCTGGCCAACATGGCGAAAACCCATCTCTACTAAAAATACAAAAATTAGCTGGGCGTGGTGCCGCATACCTGTAATCCCAGCTACTCAGGAGACTAAGGTGGGAGGATCGCTTGAACCCGGGAGGCAAATGTTGCAGTGATCACAGCTCACTGAAGCCTGGAACTCCCGGGCTCAGTGACCCTCCTGCCTCAGCCTCCTGACTGGCTGGGACTGATATGGGAGGGGGGCAGGGAACTGCTGTGTAGAGAAAGGCGGGTCCCTGGGTAGGGCTTCACCCTTGGGCCTGTGTCCACTGACCCAGGTGAGGACAAGCACTCCCGCCTTCGCGCCCAAATGTTGCATTTTCCAAGACCACCCTGGTTTGCCACGCCCCCCAGCCTGGGCCTATAAAAACCCAAGACCCTAGCAGGCAGACACATAAGCAGCTGGATGTTGTCAGGAGTATGCCGGCGGAAGAGCAGCCGACAGGCATCGGCATGCCATCGACCAGTGCAGAAGGACACGGACTTTGGCCAGAGCAGCTGGTAAAGAGGTGGGCCTCTGAGTGGCCTGACTCCAGGGGAAAACCATCTCCCTTCTGGCTCCCAACCTGCTGAGAGCTACTTCTACTCAATAAAACCTTGCACTCATTCTTAAAGCCCACGTGTGATCCGATTCTTCCAGCACACCAAGGCAAGAACCCGGGATACAGGAAGCCCTCTGTCCTTGCGACAAGGTGGAGAGTTTAACTGAGCTGGTTAACACAAGCCGCGTATAGACAGCAAACTAAAAGAGCACCCTGTAACACACGCCCACTGGGGCTTCAACTGTAAACATTCATCCCTAGACACTGCCCTGGGGTCGGAGCCCCGCAGCCTGCCCATCTATATGCTCCCCTAGAGGTTTGAGTAGCAGGGCACGGAGGAAGCGAGCCACACCTCCATCGCACGCCCTGCGAGGGGAACAAGGGAACTTTTTCCGTTTCAGGACCACAGATGCATGCCACCACTAGTCAGGCTAATTTAAAAAAAATTTGTGTGTGTGGAGAAGGGGTCTCCCTATATTGTCCAGGCTGGTCTTGAACCCCTGGCCTCAAGTGATCCTCCCGACTCAGCCTCCCAAAGGGCTGGGATTACGGGTGTGAACCACTGTGCTGGGCCTAAAAACTACCTTTTGTTTCAGACTATAACCACAGCAGAATTCCGCCAGGTTTCTTTTTCAAATCCATTCAATAAATTATAGACAAAGATAACACTGGCTATACAATTTAGCAATATGGGTCCATCTCCTGAAGAAACACGCATTGTTACATTGCTGGGCTGGGCAGGGCATGGTGGCTCATGCCTGTAATCCCAGCACTTTGGGAGGCTGAGGCGGGCGCAACACCTGAGGTCAGTAGTTTGAGACCAGCCTGGCCAACATGGCGAAAACCCATCTCTACTAAAAATACAAAAATTAGCTGGGCGTGGTGCCACATGCCTGTAATCCCAGCTACTCAGGAGACTAAGGTGGGAGGATCGCTTGAACCCAGGAGGCGAATGTTGCAGTGAGCTGAGATTATACCACTGTACTCCAGCCTGGGTAACACAGCAAGATTCTGTCTCAGAGAAAAATAAATAATAAATTGCTTGAGCTGGGAGTGTTTTACCTTAGAGTACAGCACTGCAGCTCCTGTGTAATCTTTCTCCTGAAATTTTTTGTTTCCTTCTTCTCTGTAGAAAAGAGGAGCGTCCGAGTCCTTTCCCACCAAGTAACCTTTAGAAAGTCTTTTTAGAAACAGCTCATCCTCAGGTCTGCATGAAGAAAGGAGGAAACAAAGTAAGCAGAAATGTGTTATTTCAAGGAAAGCTCTAAACCATTGCCCTCAAAACAAGAAAGTGGGCCCGCAAAACATTTCACACACATGAGGATATGTACATTGTGCAATGTGATTAGAGGAAAGAAATCTCATAGTCTCAGAGACACAGGGACCAGAATTTTTTGAGACAGGGTCTCACTCTGTCACCCAGGCTGGAGTGCCGTGGTGCCATCTCCACTCACTGCAGCCTTGACTTCCCA
This sequence comes from Homo sapiens, assembly GCF_000001405.40. Classification (NCBI taxonomy): domain Eukaryota; kingdom Metazoa; phylum Chordata; class Mammalia; order Primates; family Hominidae; genus Homo; species Homo sapiens. The sequence continues at coordinate 1,812,381 of NC_000017.11, forward strand.
GGCTCAGATGATTCTCCCACCTCAGCCTCCTGAGTAGCTGGCACTAATTGGGAGGATGTGTGCCACCAGGCCTGGCTAATGTTTGTACTTTTAGTAGAGGTGGGGTTTTGCCATGTTGCCCAGGCTGGTCTTGAACTCCTGGGCTCAAATGATCAGCAGAATTTCTTTTTTTTTTTTTTTTTTTTTTTGAGATGGAGTCTCACTGTCACCCAGGCTGGAGTGCAGAATCATGATCTCGGCTCGCTGCAACCTCCGCCTCCCTGGTTCAAGTGATTCTCCTGCCTCAGCCTCCTGAATAGGTGGGATTACAGGCGCCCATCACCAGGCCCAGCTAATTTTTGTATTTTTAGTAGAGAAAGCATTTCACCATGTTAGCCAGGCTGGTCTCGAACTCCTGACCTCAAATGGTCCACCTGCCTCACCCTCCCAAAGTGCTGGGAATACAGGCGTGAGCCACCGCACCTGGCCAGAATTTCTATTTAGAGGACTGAAGGCTAATTTTTTATTCTTTATCTCATAATTATTGGCCAACGAACCATCCCTCGGATCATACATCATAAAAGATTTTTTTTTTTTGAGACAGAGTTTCGCTCTGTCACCCAGGCTGGAGTGCAGTGGTGCAATCTCAGCTCACTGCAAACTCTGTCTCCTGGGTTCAAGTGATTCTCCTGCCTCACCCTCCCGAGTAGCGGGGATTACAGGCATGCACCACCACGTTCAGCCAATTTTTGTATTTTCAGTACAGGCAGGGTTTCACCATTTTGGCCAGGTTTGTCTTGAACTCCTGACCTCAAGTGATCCGCCTGCCTGGGCCTCCCAAAGTGTTGGGATTACAGGCATGTGCTACTGGGCCCAGCCAGGATCTTGAGTCTGGAAAATGAGACTAATATATGGTGTCTTTTGAATCAAGGAGTATTCTCCACTTCAACTGCTGAAAATACTTGAGTGGCTGACAGAAGAGAGATAATGAGAATGAATCATAAAGTAAATGTAGTAAAACGTTAACACTTGCGAAATTTGGAAGAATTCACCAATTCTTTGTACTTTTTTTTTTGGAGACAGAGTCTCACTTTGTTGCCCAGGCTGTAGTGCAGCACTGGCACGATCTCGGCTCACTGCAACCTCCGCCTCCTGGGTGCAAGTGATTCTTGTGCCTCAGCCTCAGGAGTAGCTAGGAGTGTGAGCCACCACGCCCAGCTAATTTTTTGTATATTTAGTAGAGATGGGGTCTCATCATGTTGCCGAGGCCGGTCTTGAACTTCTGAGCTCAGGCAATCTGCCCACTTTGGCCTCCCAAAGTGCTAGATCACAGGTGTGAGCCACTGTGCCTGGCCTCTTTATACTATTTTTGCAAGTAAGTCTGAAATTATTTCAAACTAAGAAGTTTAAGAAATAAATATACAAATGCTCTACAAAATTAATAAAGCTGAACTAATACATAAATATAGAGACATATACACATACTAACAAAAAATATACCTATTTTCCAATAAAAAGAAATAATATAGAATAACCTAGACTATTCTCTTTGACTATAATGCCATAAAGTAAAATATGAATAACAAAAGTAGAAACACAAATGACATGGAAACTAAAAATTATCTTAAGTAACTCTTGAATCAAAGAAGAAATCACAGAGCTGCAGAATGGCCAGGTGCGGTGGCTCACGCCTGTAATTCCAGCACTTTGGGAGGCCAAAGAGGGAAGATTGCCTGAGCTCAGGAGGCTAGCCTGGGCAACATGGGAAGACCCTGTCTCTACAAAAAATACAAAAATTAGCTGGGTGCGGTGGCATATGCCTGTAGTCCCAGCTACTCGGGAGGCTGAGGTGGGAGGACTGCCTGAGCCCAGGAAGTCAAGGCTGCAGTGAGCCAGGAGGGCCCCACTGCATTCAAGCCTGGGTGACAGGGCAAGGCCCTGTCTCAAAAAAACAAAAAACAACAACAAAAAGCCCTGGAGAATGTTTACAAGTAAGTTAAAAATTTTTGTTTACAAAGACCCACAATAAGGAACACCTTTCACATTGTGACTCAGTATAATGCTTTTGTGTTTGAATCTATTAACATTTTATAAAACATTATCTTTGCTATGAGGTAAAAACAAAGTTAGTATCAAATATGATTTTATTAATATTTAAATACAACACAGACAAGTCACAAATAGGGCTGGGTGCAGTGGCTTATACCTGTAATCCCAGCACTCTGGGAGGCCGAGGTGGGCAGGTCACCTGGTCCACGAGTTTGCGACCAGCCTGGGCAACATAGTGGAACCCACCTCCACAAAAAATACAAAAATTAGCCGGGCGTGGTGGCAAGCACTTGTAGTCTCAGCTATTGGGAGGCCGAGGCACGAGAATCGCTTGAGCCTGGGAGGTGAAGGTTGCAGTGAGCTGAGATCGCACCATCACACTCCAACCTGGGTCAAATAATACAAAAAAGAAAAACTAGGAAAGATTTTATTTAATTTAAGAGGTGTGCTTGCCTGTTCTACATTTACTCCAGTCCAGAAAATATGAAGGCAATACCCTATGCCTGTCTGGTACACCGCAGAGCTTGTTCTTTTTTCTGTTTTTGTTTTAAATTAGGTTAAACCTAAAAACCCTAGTTCAAACAAAAGGTTTGTGGTAAACAGTAATAATAGCAAAATTCTTCTTGCCTAACAATAGATTATGAACTCAATGTCTTTTTTTTTTTCTTTTTTTGAGATGGAGTCTCACTCTGTCACCCAGGCTGGAGTGCAGTGGTGCGATCTCGGCTCACTGCAACATCTGCCTTCCGGGTTCAAGTGATTCTCCTGCCTCAGCCTCCTGAGCAGCTGGGATTACAGGTGCCCGCCACCACACCCAGCTAATTTTTGTATTTTTAGTAGAGACGGGGTTTCACCATGTTGATCAGGCAGGTCTCCAACTCCTAACCTCATGATCCACCCGCCTTGGCCTCCCAAAGTGCTGGGATTACAGGTGTTGAGTCACTGTGCCCAGAATACTTTTTTGATTTTTTAGTAGAGATGATGTCTCAATACCTTGCCCAGGCTGTTCTCAAACTCCTGAGCTCAAGTGATTTTCCTGCCTTGGCCTCCCAAAGTGTTAGGATTACAGGTGTGAGTCACTGCATCCAGCCGATTCTTTTTTTTTTTTTTTTAATGTCTTCTGGAATATTATGATAAAAAAATTGAGGCTGAGGTGGGAGGATCGCTTGAGCCCAGAAGGTCAGGGCTACAGTGAGCTACGATCACACCACTGCACTCCAGCCCAGTCAGCACAGCAAGACCCTGCCTTAAAAAAAAAAAAAAAATTGAGGTAGTAAGATGGAAAAAGCAATCTAATGTTTTTTTTTTTGAGACGAAGTCTCGCTCTGTCACCGAGGCTGGAGTGCAATGGTGTGATCTCGGCTCACTGCAATCTCCGCCTCCCGGGTTCAAGCGATTCTCCTGCCTCAGCCTCCCGAGTAGCTGGGATTACAGGCACCTGCCACCATGACCAGCTAATTTTTGTCTTTTTAGGAGAGACGGGGTTTCACCATGTTGGCCACACTGGTCTTGAACTCCTGACCTCAGGTGATCCGCCCGCCTTGGCCTCCCAAAGTGCTGGAATGACAGGTGTGAGCCACCATGCCCGGCCTATTTAAACCATTTTTTAAGCATACAGTTCACTGGCATTACATACATTCATATTATCCAACCATCAGCACTATTCATTTCCAAAGTTTTTTCATCATCCCATGCTGAAACTCTACCCATTAAACCATAACTCCTCATTCCTCCCTCTCCACATCCCCTGGCAAACTCCATTCTGCTTTCTGCCTCTGTGAATTTACTTATTCCAGGTATTTCATGTAAATGTAATCATACATTACTTTTCCTTTTGTGTCTAACTTATTTCACTTAGCAAAAAGTTTTCAAGGTACATCATGTTGTAGTATAAACCAGAATTTTGCTTATTTAAAAAAATTTTTTTTTGGCCAGGCGCGGTGGCTCACGCCTGTAATCCCAGCACTTTGGGAGGCCGAGGCGGGTGGATCACGAGGTCAGGAGATTGAGACCGTCCTGGCTAACAAGGTGAAACCCCCGTCTCTACCAAAAATACAAAAAAGTAGCCAGGTGTGGTGGTGCGTGTGTGTAATCCCAGCTACTCGGGGGACTGAGGCAAGAGAATCACTTGAACCCAGGAGGCGGAGGTTGCAGTGAGCCGAGAGCACACCACGGCACTCCACCCTGGGCGACAAAGCGAGACTCTGTCTCAAAAAAAAAAAAAATTTTTTTTTAAGAGATGGAGTCTCCCTTTGTCGCCCAGGCTGGAGGGCAGTAGCTATTCTGCACTCTAACCTGGGCAACAGGCACAGTCTAGCTACAGGCACAATGATCGCACACTATGGCCTTTTTGTAGGTGTGTGAAGTGATCTCTCACTGTGGTTTTGGTGTGTGTTTCTCTGATTATGAATGATGTTGAACATCTTTTCGTGTGTCTACTGGCTATTTGTGTATCTTCTTTGGAGAAATGAGTCAAGTCCTTTGCCTATTTTTAATCTGATTTTTTTGTTATTGAGTTGTAGGAGTTCTTTATATATTTCGGATATTAATTTCTTATCTGATACATGATTTGCAAATAGTTTCTCCCATTCTGTGGGTTATCCTTTCACTCTCTTGATACTGTCCTTGGTGCACAAAACCTTTTTTTTTTTTTTTTAAGACAGTCTCACTCTGTCGCCCAGGCAGAAGTTCAGTTTCTCGGCCACTGCAACCTCCGCCTCCCGGGTTCAAGTGATTCTCCTGCCTCAGCCTCCCGAGTAGCCGGGATTACAGGCACGCACCACCACGCCTGGCTAATTTTTGTATTTTTAGTAGAGACAGGGTTTCACCATGTTGGCCAGGCTGGTCTCAAACTCCAGGCCTCAACTGATTTGCCTACCTCAGCCTCCCAAAGTGCTGGGATTACAGGCGTGAGCCACCGCGCCTGGCCTAAAACTGTTTTTTTTTGAGACAAGGTCTTGCTCTGTCGCCCAGGCTGGAGTGTAGTTGGCTTGGTCATGGCTCACTCCAGCCTTGACTGACCTCCCAGGCTCAAGTAATCCTCCCACCTCAGCTTCCTGAGTAGCTGGGGCTCCAGGCATGCGCCACCATGCCTGGCTATATTATTTGTAGAGACGGGGTCTCACTTGTTGCCCAGGCTGGTCTCGAACTCCTGGGCTCAAGTGATCCTTCCGCCTTGGCCTCTCAAAAGAGTGGTGGGATTACAGCTGTGAGCCACCATGCCCAGCCTAAAAGTTTTAATTTTGATAAAGTACAGTTTATTTTTTTTGTTGTTGCCTGTGCTTTTGGTGTCATATGCAAGAAATAACTGCTAAATCCAATGTCAAGATTTTCCCCTATGTTTTCTTTTAAGAAGTTTACAATTGGCCGGGCACAGTGGATCACGCCCCAGAACTTTGGGAGGCCGAGGTGGGCGGATCACGAGGTCAGGAGATTGAGACCATCCTGGCTAACATGGTGAAACCCCGTCTCTACTAAAAATACAAAAAATTAGCCAGGCGTGGTGGCGGGTGCCTGTAGTCCCAGCTACTCGGGAGGCTGAGGCAGGAGAATGGCGTGAACCCGGGAGGCGGAGCTTGCAGTGAGCCGAGATCGTGCCACTGCACTCCAGCCTGGGCGATGGAGCAAGACTCTGTCTCAAAAAAAAAAAAAAAAAAAGTTGTTTACAATCTTAGCTCTTAACTTTAGGTCTCTGATCCATTTTGAATTAATTTTTGTATATGAAGGCACAACTTCAGCCTTTTGCATGTAGCTTGTCATTAGGATACAGACAGAAAAAAAACACATTTTTTCTTTCTCCAGCCTTGCCATCTCTCTCTAGAACTCTGGGGATGTAAAGCCTTTCATGGAGCTAACTGGCGAAGGAGAAAGTCCCAGCTCTGGCTCCAAAGTAGAGTGCAGATTACTGAGATTGGACATAATCGCTTAATACCTGGGACATATCCACATATGCATCATTTTTTCTCTAAGCCATTTGAAAGTAAGTACAGGCATCATGGATGTTCACCTCTAAATATTCGCAGGCCTCTGCTTTAAAAATAAGGACATTCTCCTATATTACTATAATATCATTATCACTAAAAAATTAACAGTAATTCAAATATTATTTAAATGTAAATGTTACCAATTATTCCTAATATGTCTGTTGTATCTTTTTCTCACCCTAACCAATCCAAGATCAACGTTCTCATGTATTGAATTTAGTTATTTCTCTTTAGCCTCTTTTTAGATAGTGGTATAATTTTTAAATTTATTTTTAATTTTTTTTTCGAGACAGGTCTCACTTCCATTGCTCAGGCTGGAGTGCAGTGGTACGACCTCTGCTCACTGCAACCTCTACCTCCTGCCTCAGCCTCCCGAGTAGCTGGGACTATAGGCACGTACTATCATGCGTGGCTAAATTACTTTTTATTTTTATAAAATAGAGATGGGGTCTCGCTATGTTGCCCAGGCTGGCCTCAAACTCCTGGGCTCAAGGGACCCACCTGCTTCAGCCTCCCAAAGTGCTGGGATTATAGGTGTGAGCCACTGCACCTGGCCAATTACAATTTTTTTAATGAGTAATTTTTTTTAAAGATTCAACACCAGAAAAACGTTTCACATTCTGGTTTCGCTTCATTGTTTCCTCATGGTTAGATTCACATTAAACAATTTTTATTAAGAATACGGCTGGGTGTGGTGGCTCACACCTGTAATCCCAGCACTTAGGGAGGCCGAGGCAGGCGAATCACCTGAGGTCAGGAGTTCGAGACCACCCTGGGCAACATGGTGAAACCCCGTCTCTACTAAAAATACAAAAATTAGCCAGGCACAGTGGTGCATGCCTGTAATCCCAGCTACCCAGGAGGCCGAGGCAGGAGAATCGCTTGAATACGGGAGGCAGAGGTTGCAGTGAGCAGAGATTGTGCCACTGCACTCCAGCCTGGGAGACAGAGAGAGACTACGTCTCAGAACAAACAAACAAACAAAATGACTACATAGTTAAATCTATATACTTCTTGTTGCCTCAAATCAGGAGACATATAATGTCTCCCCAGTATTATGGAAGCTAAGTTTGGTCACTTACTTAATGTGGCAATTGCTGAATCTCTGCAATGTAAAGACACCTTTCCCTTGTACTTAAATACTCTATAGGGCCATACTTTGAGATCATGTGAAGAGCCTGTTTCCCAGTGATGTTACTTCTAAAGGTTTGCGCATCTACTGATAATTGCCAGAATCATTCCATCACACTAGGGGTTACAAAATGGCGATTTTTCTAATTCTACCATTATTTCTAAATTTATTAGCTGGCAATCTTTGGTAAAGACAAACTTTCTCCTTTTCCTTCTTTTACTTGTTTCATGTGAGCAATATTTACACAGACATAATATGTATTTACTTATTTTTGTTTGTTTTGAGACAGAGTCTCACTCTGTTTCCCAGGCTGGAGTGCAGTGGCACGATCCTGGTTCACTGCAACCTTCGCCTCTGGGGTTCAAGCAATTCTTCTGCCTCAGCCTCCCAAGTACCTGGGATTACAGGCACCTGACACCACGCCCAGCTAATTTTTGCATTTTTAGTAGAGATGGGGTTTTGCCATGTTGGCCAGGCTGGTCTCAAACTCCTGAGCTCAGGTGATCCACCTGCCTTGGCTTCCCAAAGGGCTGGGATTACAGGCATGAGCCACCATGCCCGGCCAAAAGTCAATTAAGAAAGTAAACTCGGATATTTAGAGTACCACCATGGACTTAAACAATTTATTATCATAAACTATTATCACCATTATACTTTTTCATGGTCAAATTATGCTAATATTGGCCAGTGACAACCTCTTCAGACTGGTTCCTATGTTCTTTTTTGTTGTTTTTGATCCAGGGTCTTGCTCTGTTGCCCAGGCTGGAGGACAGTGGTACCATCATAGCTCACGACAGCCTCGACATCCTGGGCTCAAGCAATTTTCCCACCTCAGCCTCCCAAATAGCTATGGCTACAGGCATGTGACACCATGCCCAGCTAACTTTTTATGTTTTTGTGGAGACACAGTCTCACTATGTTGCCCAGGCTGGTCTCAAACTCCTGGGCTCCAGCGATCCTCTTGCCTAAGCCTCCCAAAGTGTTGGGATTACAGGTGTGAATGGGGTCACCATACCTGGCCTACGCTCTTTTTTATATAAATCTATTAGTCTTCGAGCACGTCCTTGTTTTCTGACACAGGTTATTCCAGTTGAATCAGCACAAAATAAAAACAAACAATAAGCCTGTGAATGTGGATAGTGAAGCTATTAAGAATTTCCTACAACACTCTGGGAGATTATTAATTGCAGGAGTGGAGAGGTAGGGGTGGACAGTGGGAGGTCGTGTGTCTCAAAAGGTTTTCAATAGATGAAAGGCATCTCTTGTGGGAAAACATTCCTCAAAGAATGTCTATTGGCAAGAAAGAAAAGTGTGTGCTTGGCTTTAAACTTTAAAGGGCCAGTTCCTATTTTTACCTAACAGGCATGCATGTGGAGATCAGAAGTTTAAATCTTTTTTGGTTACTTTAGATTGTGATGGAACAGAATTACAAATAGCTCTTTGAGCTAACTTGTTTTTAAGGAGAGAGGTCTGGGTATGAATTAGTGAGAGACATACAGAGCAAACAAAAATGGAGGTGATTTATTAACCCCAGGGGAAACGAGAGCAGTACAAGAAAGGAAATGTAATTCAAAGCATCCTTCACGGTTCATGTGAACAAGACTCACACAGACATAAGAATGTATGCATTGAATGTTGGTTCAATCAATTTAATACTCTATTGGTTATATAACAGTTATCATGAGGGAATGAGGGAAAAACAAAGTATAGGCCGGGCAAGGGGGTTCACGCCTGTCATCCCAGCACTTTGGGAGGCCGAGGAGGGTGGATCACATGAGGTTAGGAGTTTGAGACCAGCCTGACCAATATGGAGAAGTCCCGTCTCTACTAAAAATACAAAATTAGCTGGGCGCGGTGGTGCATGCCTGTAATCCCAGCTACTCGGGAGGTGGAGGCAGGAGAATCGCTTCAACCCAGGAGGCGGAGGCTGCTGTGAGCCAAGACGGCACTATTGCACTCCAGGCTGGGTGACAAGAGCGAAACTCTGTCTCAAAAAAACAAAAACAAAAAACAAAGTATATACCTGTGAGTTGGGAAGAAGAGAGCAAAATTACATCTAAAATTATACAAACTCAAGAAAGAGCAGTATTTGCAATGTTTAGAAATAATAAATTACGTGTCAGAAGGCTGGGCACAGTGGCTCACACCTGTAATCCCAGCACTTTGGGAGACCAAGGTGGGCAGATCACCTGAGGTTGGGAGTTTGAGACCAGCCTGGCCAACATGGTGAAACCCCATCTCTACTAAATATACAAAAATTAGCTGGGTGTGATGGCACACACCTGTAATCCTAGCTACTTGGGTGGCTGAGGCATGAGAATCGCTTGAACCTGGGAGGCAGAGGTTGCAGTGAGCCCAGATCGTGCCATTGCACTCCAGCCTGGGTGGCAGAGTGAGATTCTGTCTCAAAAAAAAAAAAGGTCTGGTGTGATGGCTCATGCCTGTAACCCCAGCACTTTGGGAGGCTGAGGCGGGTGGATCCCTTGAGGTCAGGAGTTTGAGACTAGCCTGGCCAACATGGTGAAACCCTGTCTCTACTAAAAATATAAAAATTATATATTTTAGGCATATATAGTAGTGCATGCCTGTAATCCCAGCTACTCGGGAGACTGAGGCAAGATAATCACTTGAACCTGGGAGGCAGAGGTTGCAGTGAACAGAGATCGCGCCACTGCACTCCAGCCTGGGTAACAGAGTGAGACTCTGACTCAACCTGTTAAAAAAAAAATTAAATGCCAGAAGAAACAGTTAATTTAAAGTAGCTGTCTCTGGGGAATAAGAATCAGGAATGGGGAAGAGTGGACAGGGAGTTGCTGTTTTTCCTGATAAGTTTTGAAGCACTATTTGATTTCTTAAAGTATGTATGCATATTATTCTGATAAAAAATTAAACTAAGGAAGGAAAATATTTTCACTAAGGCATCTGGTCTACATAGTTTTACAGAATTTTTCTACTAGCCTTTAAGAAGCACATAATTCCTACATTATATAAGCTATTTCAGAGCACAGAAAAAGGCGGGAAGCTCTCCAATTCATTCTGAGGCTACCATAACCCACCATGGTATCAGCTGGGATTACAGGTGCCCGCCACCATGGCCAGTTAATTTTTTGTATTTTTAGTAGAGACAGGGTTTCATTCACCACGTTGCCCAGGCTGGTCTTGAACTCCTGACCTCAGGTGATCCACCCGCCTTGGGCTCCCAACATGCTGGGATTACAGGTGTGAGCCACTGCACCCGGTCAGATGATTTAAAAACTCTTACCTTTTATTTACACCACCAATCACCAATTAGAGAATGTAATTGGGGGGAAAAGCCTTATTCACAATAACAACAAAAACCTTACAAGAAGAATAAATCGAACATGAAATGTGTAAGACCTATATAAAGAAAACTATAAAACTTTACTTAAGGACATAGAAGAAGCCTTAAAGAAATGGACATACCCTTTATTTGGATTAGGAAATTTAATATTGTAAAGATGTCAGGTCTCCTTAAGTGAATCTATAAATCCAACACATTCCCAATCAAAAGCCCAACAACATTTTTTATAGAACTTGAGAAGCTGGCCGGGCACGGTGGCTCACGCCTGTAATCCCAGCACTTTGGGAGGCTGAGGCGGGTGGATCATGAGGTCAGGAGATCAAGACCATCCTGGCTAACGTGGTGAAACTCCATCTCTACTAAAAATACAAAAAAAAAAAAAAAGATAATAAAATAAAATTAGCTGGGCGTGGTGGCAGGCGCCTGTAGTCCCAGCTACTCGAGAGGCTGAGGCAGGAGAATGGCATGAACCCAGGAGGCAGAGCTTGCAGTGAGCCGAGATCACGCCACTGCACTCTAGCTTGGGTGACAGAGCGAGACTCCGTCTCAAAAAAAAAAAAAAAAAAAAAAAAAGAACTTGACAAGCCAATTCTAAAGTTCACATGGGGGAAATGCACACAAAATACCCAAGATATTCTGGAATACGAACAATGACTATGTGTGTGCGAGCAGGAAGCTGGCCTCTGGGCCACTTCCTGGGAGCCGCCTGGGTACTGAGACTCCCCTGCTTTCAAGTACCCTTTCTCTCTACTTCCGGTAAATCTCAGTGGGGAATCCATTTTTTGAGGCTGAAGAAGGGTAGACCCCATTTCACAGCAGGGTTGGGCACATGACACAGGCCTGGCCAATCAGAGGAGTCTCATACCTCTGGTTGAAGGGATGTGCATGTGATCAAAATTCAGTTGACCTGAGCCCCACCCAGAAGTTTTCTGCTGAAACTTCAGAAAGACAGCCTCTTCCCCTGGGGTGTTATTACACTATCAGGGTGTGCCCAGGGCTGTGAATGGTTATAGCACCCACTAGATGGAGAGAATCTGTCTGACACATGAAGAAATACACATTCTGATGACATCCTTTGAGCCCCTGAATACAACCTAGCCTGAAAATAGATCTCCCTTCAGATAGCCTAGTTTCATAGCTAAAAGTTTCATACTTTGAAGGGGGTTTCTGTTACTTGAAACTGAAGAGTTCTAGAGTTTCTAAAATGACACTATAGGCCAGGTGGGGTGGCTCACGCCTGTAATTCCAGGACTTTGGGAGGCCAAGGTGGATGGGTCACCTGAGGTCAGGAGTTTGAGACCAGCCTGGCCAACATGGTAAAACCCCGTCTCTACTAAAAATACAAACATTAGCCGGGCATGATGGCGTGTGCCTGTAACCCTAGCTACTTGGGAGGCTGAGACAGGAGAATCGCTTGAACCCACGAGGCACAAGTTGCAGTGAGCTGAGATTGCGCCACTGCACTCCAGCCTGGGCGACAGAGGGAGGCTCAGTCTCAAAAGAAAAATAATACTAATAAAATACACTATAAAGTCACAGTAATTAAAACCCTTTTGTTCCGGCACAGATCTAGAGCCTAGAAACAAATTTGTGGATAAGTAGTGATATGGCGTGGCTGTGTCCCCACCCAAATCTCATCTTGAACTGTTATTTCCCAGAAGCCTGTGTTGTCGGAGGGACCTGATGGGAGGTAACAGAATCGTGGGAGTGGTTTCCCCATGCTGTTCTCGTGATAGTGAGTGAGTTCTCACGAAATCTGATTATTTTATTTATATTTATATTTTTATTTTTTGAGATGGAGTCTTGCTCTGTTGCCCAGGCTGGAGAGCAGTGGCACAATCTCAGCGCACTGCACCCTCCGTCTCCCAGGTTCAAGCAATTCTCCTGTCTCAGCCTCCTGAGTAGGTGCGGTTACAGGCACATGCCGCAATGCCTGGCTAATTTTTTTTTTGCATTTTTAGTAGAGATGGGGTTTCACCATGTTGGCTGGGCTGGTCCTGAACTCCTGACTTCAAGTGATCCTCCTGCCCCAGTCTCCCAAAGCGCTGCGATTACAGGCGTGAGCCACCGCGCCCGGTGAAATCTGATGATTTTATAAGGGGCTTTCCCCCTTTGCTCAGCACTTCTCCTTCCTGCCACCCTGTGAGGGCTGTGCCTTTTTTTCCTTCGTCTTCCACCATGATGGTAAGTTTCCTGAGGCCTTCCCAGCCATGTGTGAGTCAATTAAACCTCTTTTCTTTATAAATTACCCAGTCTTGGGTATTTCTTGATAGCAACGTGAGAATGGAGTAACATGAGTAGGAATTTAATTTTAATAACTGAGGCATTTGCAAGCACTGGGGAAAGGATGCGTCATGCATTAAATGCTACAGAAAAATTGTCCACCTGGAAAAAAAGTGAGAATATTCCTTCACATAGTACACAAAATCAATTGGAGATGTATACATACATCATAACATAATGTTGTACCCCTTAAACGTATATTTTGTCAGTTATACCTCAATAAAGATGGAGGAAAAAGTGCAGAAGGATTAGAGAGCTAAAGGTAAAAAAATGTTAGCAGAAAACAATGAACATTTTTATCAACTCCCAAGTAGTTGGAATTACAGGCACATGTCATGTTGTCTGGCTTCATTTTTATACAGCCATATCTGTCATTTTCTTTCTTTTTTTTTTTTTTTTTTGAGAAATAGTCTTGTTCTGTCACCCAGGCTGGAGTGCAGTGGCACAATCATGGCTCGCTGCAGCCTTGACCTCCCAGGTTCAAGTGATCCTCCCACCTCAGCCTCCTGAGTAGCTGGGACGACAGGCACATGCCACCATGCTTGGCTAATTTTTAAAATTTGTTTATAGAGATGGAATCTCACTATGTTGCCCAGGCTCCTGGGCTCAAGCAATCCTCTCACCTTTGGCTCCCAAAGTGCTAGGTTTACAGGTATGAGCCACCGCACCCAACCTCATCTTCTTTTATACCTTCTGGGTTGTGTCTTGCTTAGGATGGTTCACTCCACCATCCTAAGGAAGACAGGAGGATCGCTTGAGCCCAGGAGCTTGAGGTCAGCCTGAGCAACATACTGAGACCTTGTGTCTAAAAATAAATTTTAAATGAAATTTAAAAATTTGAAACATATATACACAATTTATATACAATGTAAATGTAAAACATTTACATTGTAAATAGGGTAAAAAAGATAAACAGATTGGGAATAATTTATACAACAAATAGTAACTTACATAGCAAAGAACTATACAGCTAGATTTATGAAGATCTCCTACAAATGAACAAGAGAATAAAGACAACCTGCTAGAAAATGGGCAAGGGACACAAATAGGCAATACACACGAGAAATAAAAATGCACTGGGGGGCCGGGCGCAGTGGCTCATGCCTGCAATCCCAGCACTTTGGGAGGCCAAGGCGGGCGGATCACCTGAGGCCAGGAGTTGGAGACCAGCCTGCCCAACATGGCGAAACTCCATCTCTATTAAAAATACAAAATTAGCCGGGTATGGTGGAATGCGCCTGCAATCCCAGCTACTCGGGAGGCTGAGGCAGGAGAATCACTTGAACTTGGGAGGCGGAGGTTGCAGTGAGCCAAGACTGTGCCACTGCACTCCAGCCTGGGCAACAAGAGCAAAACTCTGTCCAAAAAAAAAAAAAAAAAAAAAAAAAAAGAAAAGAAAAGAAAAGAAATGAAGACTAACAAAAAAAGTATAACCCTAACTGTACCGAGTATCTGAACTGGCAAGGCTCAAAACTGAACTCATTATTTCATTCAATTAATATACGAGCGCCTACTATGTGCCTGGCACAAAGATAAAGACATCAACCTTGAACGTGAAAGGTGTGTGTTTCTGGATCTGCAAATATATAAGGTTCTGCTTTATACGTCATTTTAAGCACTAATAACAGCCAGTAACTAAACTAAGAACTTTATATACATTACCAAGTTGTCATTCAATTAATGTTTACTAACCACTTATTTTTTGACACTGCACTATTTTTGTCTATAGAAAGACAAACAGGCCGGGCACAGTGGCTCATGCCTGTAATCCCAGCACTTTGGGAGGCTGAGGCGGGCGGATCATTTGAGGGCAGGAGTTCAAGACCAGCCTGGCCAACATGGTGAAACCCTGTCTCTACTAAAAATACAAAAATGTGAGCTGGGCATGATGGTGTACGCCTGTAATCCTAGCTATTTGGGACGCTGAGGCATGAGAATCGCTTGAACCCAGGAGGTGGAGATTGCAGTGAGCTGAGATTGTGCCACTGCACTCCAGACTGGGTGACAGAGTGAGACCCTGTGTCAAAAAAAATAAAATAAAATAAAAATAAATAAATAAATAAATTAGCCGAGCATGGTGGTGTGCGACTGTAATCCCAAATACTCGGGAAGCTGAGATACGAGAATTGCCTGAACCCGGGAGGCGGAGGCAGTGGGCTGAGATTGCGCCACTGCACTCTAGCCTGGGTGACAGAGCGAGACAGTCTCAAGAAAAAGAAAAAAAGAAAAAAAAAAAAAGAAAAACAAATACAAACACGGTCCCTTCCCTCATGAAGTTCACAATCTAGCGGCAAAGGCAGGCATTAGTCAAAAGAGCACACACATATATAAAGGAAAATCACACAGCATTGTAAATGTACAAAGAGTGAAGATGGCCCAGCTGAGGCTCAGGGAGAGCTTTCCTGAGGAAAGATCTGGCTAATCCTGCAGGATGACAGAAGTGAATTAGTTCACAGGACACGCTGGGATAGAAACGAACCAGGAAAAGTACTTCAGGCATTTTCCATCAAAAAGAGATGTTACCAGGCCAGACATGGTGGCTCACGCCTGTACTCCCAGCACCTTGGGAGGCCAAGGTGGGAGGATTGCTTGAGCCCAGAAATTTGAGACCAGCCTGGGAAACAAGCAAGACTCAATCTTTATTTAAGAAAAAGACACATTACTTCAGAGCAAATGACAAAATAGAACATTTTTTGGCTCACAATTCCCTTGTTAAAGCTTGATTTACTTACTGAAGAAGTGAAGAGGAGTGAAGAAAGATATCCCTCAAGGTCTCTGCTGTAGAAATTGTGACCTGAACAGACGTCGGGAGTGAAGCCCACTTTTGAAGCAGATATGATTTCCATTCATCCACAGGCAGATCCATGCTGCTTTTGATCTATAAAATGAGTAAGAAAATAGGAATCTTACAAATGCACAATTTTAGAAAATCAAGAGTTCAGCCAGGTACGGTGGCTCACACCTGTAATCCCAGCACTTTGGGAAGCCGAGGTAGGTGGATCACGAGGTCAGGAGATGGAGACCATCCTGGCTAACACAGTGAAACCCCGTCTCTACTAAAACTACAAAAAAATTAGCCAGGTGTGGTGGCGCACACTTGTAGTCCCAGCTACTCGGGAGGCTGAGGCAAGAGAACTGCGTGAACTGGGGAGGCGGAGGTTGCAGTGAGCTGAGATCACGCCATTGCACTCCAGCCTGGGTGACAGAGCAAGACTCTGTCTCGGAAAAAAAAAAAAAAGGAAAATCAAGATTTCATTCAAGGAAGCCTGAAACAATAAAATCAATTCTTGTGGTCTTTTCCTCTAGTTTATATGCTAAGGAAGGATCTATATTTTCTCACAGCAATTCACTCAACATCCTTCCATTCAGAAATATTTACTGAAAGACTACTTTGTCACAGGCACCATGCAGGTGATGGTTATACAAAGACGAAGCAGACTAGATAGCTACCATCTGTGCTCTTAGATCCTCTTTTTTTTTTTTTTGTGAGGCAGAGTCTTGCTCTGTCACCCAGGCTGGAGTGCAGTGGCACCATCTCGGCTCACTGCACCCTCCGCCTCCCAGGTTCAAGCAATTCTCCTGCCTCAGCCTCCGAGTAGCTGGGATTACAGATGCGCGCAACTACGCCCGGCTAATTTTTGTATTTTTAGTAGAGACGGGGTTTCACCATGTTGGCCAGGCTGGTCTCGAACTCCTGACCTCAGATGATCCGCCAGCCTTGGCCTCCCAAAGCGCTGGGATTACAGGCGTGAGCCACCGCGCCCGGCCTGATCCCTCTCTAGTTTCTCTGAGACACATCCCAGATTTTTCTTTCTCACCCACCCCAGCAACTATTCATTTAACAAGGTATTTCCCTCTCTTACATAGTTCAGCGTTCTGATTAAGTCCTCACCATCTCGTCTGGCATTCTTCCTAGAGTGTTATAATTAATGTCCATGCCATTGGCACCACTCCCCACTTTCAATCCAGCCTCCAACACTGAGACAGAAGTCAGTGCTCTGCCCTTAAATTCATCAACGCTACTCCAAGCATACCAGGAAGCCCAGGACAAAACCATCCTTACTTGACCCTTGTCTGACTTTCTAATTCTCAGGTGTCACTTACTCCTCTGCATGCACCCTTGCATACTGAACAACTCATTGCTATCCCCGGCTTGCCAGGCTATTTCAACTCTCCAATGTTTTGGCATAGGCTACTCATGCTTTCCGGACCAACCCTACCCTGGCTTATGGAGTCCACCTGGAAAATTCCCACACGTTCTTCGACTCGGCTCAAATGGCACCTCCTCCGGGACGGCGTCCCTGATTTCCCAGCTGTGATTCCAACACCCTTGGGGCCTGTACCACGTCTACCTGGAGGTGGGGTTACTGACGGCATAAAGTGCCCCCACACACTGTCCTCTTCTCTAAGGACGGGGGCCGGGTCTGATTCCCTTTCGGAGACCCCCCACCCCCACCCCCCACCGCCACGGTGCCAAGCTCAGGGCTTGGAGGCGGGAAGTCAGCCCCGCGTTGCTGGACGAATCGGGTCACTACTGCGACTCTATTTAGCAGCGGAGGTCTCAAGGAACAGCTTTAACCTCCTCTGGGATACCAACCCGTGCACTCGCCAGAGACCGAGGCGAGAACGCCTCGAGAACCGCTCAGACGCGCCCGGAACTGCGCCCTGGTCTCCCTCCCAGCGCCCGCGCAGCTCCTGGCGCGCCCCTTGGCGCCCCGCTCCGCCCCGCACCGCGTCCGGCGTCCCGCGCCAGGCCTCGCTTGGGACCATGGGTGGGTCACGTGGGCCGCGCCTCGGCCAATGCGGCGGCTGCGTAGCGCCCGGGCCCGCCCCTGAGCCGCGCGCACGTCGGGGGCGGGAGCGGTGCGCGCAACTTCTCGGGCCAATAACTGCGCAGCGCGCGGGACCCGGGTGGGGAAGCTGGAGCTGTTGCGGGGTCCGCGGGGAAGTCTTGGCGGTGGAGCCATGGTCGGCCAACTGAGCGAGGGGGCCATTGCGGTGAGGAGGTGCCGGGGGCTGGGCCGGCGGTCCGGGGTGGCTGCGGCCCCGAGCCTCGCGGAGTAGAGAGGGGGAGGGGAGCCCGGGGCGACGGGGGATGAACGCGAGGGGAGGAGATGGCGGGGGGCGGTGGGGACCCGCCGGGCGTCCCTCTAGTGTCATCGCCCCCTCCTCAAAGCATTCTTTCGATCGTCTTTAAAACATGCTCACATTTTTCCTACGTAAGAACAAACTAAATAAACGCTTGCCTTTCTCTGCATCTTCCACCTGCGGACACTTTCTGTCTCTTCTCCTTTCCCCACCCACAGCCAAACTTCTTGTCTGGTTTCAGCCACTTCCTTTCCTCGCCTTTCATCAACTCTTTAACCCACTCCAGTCATCCCTTTGATCGCTGTAGAAAACCCTGGCTGAAGGTACCAGTGGCCTCCAAGTTGCTAAATCCAGCCCTTTTCCGTTTTCAGCTTACCTGAGTTCTCAGCAGCGTTTGCGTTTAAGCCCTGCTTGCTTCAGGTCACACCCTCTTCCTTGGTTTTTAGTGGCTCAGCTTGGCAGGTCTATCCCCGTCTTATTTGTAAGTCCCTCTTTGTAAATTTTTGTTGAATCAAGGCTCCCTCTAGGCCCTCTTGACTCCCGAGGCAATTTCTTTTTTTTTCTCCAGCCTGGGCGACACTCACTGTCGCCCAGGCTGGAGTGCAGAGGCGCGATCTCGGCTCACTGCAACCTCCGTCTCCCGGGTGCAAGTGAGTCTCCTGTCTCAGCCTCCCGAGTAGCTGGGACTACATGTGTGCGCCACCACACTCGGCTACTTTTTGTGTTTTTATTAGAGACTGGGTTTCATCATGTTGGCCAGGCTGATCTCGAACACCAGACCTCAAGTTATCCGCCCGCCTCGGCCTCCCAAAATGCTGGAATTACAGGCATGAACCACCGCGCCTGGCCCCAAGGCAATTCCATTGCCATCTATTAATATATGTCAGTTGCTCACAAATTTCTTTGTACAGAGCCACCTTTACTCTAAAAGACAAACTTCCGTCATCTGTCTGCTTATTCCATGCTTCAGAGGGTTTTAAGTTCAGTATACGTATCCCAAAGCAAATTCTTTATCTTTCTAAGTCTGGGCCTCTTGATCCCTATCTCCACGGATGGCACCATTATCTATTCAGTTCAGTGCTAACCAGAAATTGAGAAATCATTCCTCCTATATTGTCCATTACCTGGGCATCCAGTCCCTCACGAAGTGAAGTGTATTTTGCCTCTGCGTAGATCTATCAAGCCCACTGGCTTCTCTCCATCCATACTGGCACCGTCTTTTTTTTTGCCTGAGCTGCTGACTTCCACTCAGCATACGTTCCTGCCACCATTCCCATCCACAGCATACTCTCAGCCTACCTCTCCAGTCACCCCCACATTTTTTTTTAAATTTAGATTTCTGGTATATTCCATACTCCTACCTTCTTCCATGGGGCCTTTGAACTTTTTTTTTTTTTTTTGAGCTGGAATCTTGCTCTGTTGCCCAGGCTGGAGGGCAGTGGCGCGATCTCGGCTCACTGCAAGCTCTGCCTCCTGGGTTCACGCCATTCTCCTGTCTCAGCCTCCCGAATAGCTGGGACTACAGGTACCCGCCACCACGCCCGGCTAATTTTTTGTATTTTTTAGTAGAGACGGGGTTTCACCGTGTTAGCCAGGATGGTCTCGATCTCCTGACCTTGTGATTCGCCCGCCTCGGCCTCCCAAAGTGTTGGGGTTACAGGCGTGAGCCACTGTGCCCGGCCTTTTTTTTTTTTTTTTTTTTTTTTTTGAGGCAGAGTCTCACTCTTTCTCCCCATACCCCCCCACTACCGCCCCAGGCTGGAGTGCGGTGGCGCAATCTCGGCTCACTGCAACCTCTGCCTTCTGGGTTCAGGCAGTTCTCGTGCCTCTGCCTCCAGAGTAGCTGGGATTACAGGCATGTACCACCACACCTGCGTAATTTTTTGTATTTTTAGTAGACACGGGGGTTTCACCATGTTGCCCAGGCTGGTCTTGAACTCCCAACCTTAGGTGATCCACCCTCCTCGGCCTCCCAAAGTGCTGGGATTACAGAAGTGAGCCACCGCACCCGGCCCTGAACATTTTTTTCCCTCTGCCCACTGCCTGGGTGGTTCTTCACTCTTCCCCACACTGGCAAACACTATCTTCGTATCTCAGCTCATTTGTGACTTCCCTTACTAGGCTAAATCCCTTTGAGACCCCAATTCCTGTTCATTCACTTATTGAATTATTTATTTTTTTTCTTTTTGAGATGGAGTCTTGCTCTGTTGCCCAGGCTGGAGTGCAGTGGCACGATCTTGACTCACTGCAACCTCCGCCTCCTGGGTTCAAGCAATTCTCCTCCCTCAGCCTCCCAGGTAGCTGAGAATACAGGAGACTGCCATGATGCCCGGCTAATTTTTGTATTTTTAGTAGAGATGGGGTTTCACCATGTTGGCCAGGCTGGTCTCGAACTCCTGACCTCAAGCAATCCACCTGCTTCGGCCTCCCAGAGTGCTGGGATTACAGGCGTGAGCCACCGCGCACGACCCCATTCACTTATTAGATGCATGACTTGAGGCAAGATACTAAACTGTTTCTTTTCTGTAAAATGAGAGCAATGATATCTATTGCATAAGGTAAGTAGGAGGATGGAGTGAGTTATTAAATTTAAAGTGCTTAGCACACTGATACATAGTAAATGCTCAGTGTTTATGTTACCTATTAATAATTGCAGTTTTATGTTTGTTGATTTATCAGTTTCTTTTTAAAATTTTAAAATTATTGTGTTTGTTTGTTTGTTTGTTTTGAGACAGAGTCTTGCTCTGTTGCCCATGCTGGAGTGCAGTGGCACATTCTCGGCTCACTGCAACCTCTGCCTCCCGGGTTCAAGCGATTCTCCTGTCTTAGCCTCCCTAGAAGCTGGGATTACAGGTGCCCACCACCACACCCTGCTAATTTTTGTATTTTTAGTAGAGACAGGGTTTCGCCATGTAGGCCAGGCTGGTCTTGAACTCCTGGCCTCGAGATCCACCCACCTTGGCCTCCCAGTATGCTGGGATCACAGGCTTGAGCCACTGTGCCTGGCCTAATACTTTGTGTAAATTCCATGAGGCCTGCAATCATGTCTGGGTTATTTTACTCTGCATTGTATCCCCAATACCTGGAGAAGTGCTGGCAAGTTTTAGGTGCTGAATAAATGCTTGCTAGTTGCATGAATGAATGAGGCAGTGGGAAGAAAGGGACAGGTGAATGGGGAAGAAAGGCAGCTTGGGGGAAAAACAGGAACAGGAAGAACTATTGTTGGACTCAAGTGAATATTTAAATAAATTAGGAATGTGTGAATGCTGAAACCGGGGAAGTGATTTTAAATTGTAGCTTTCATTTACTTTATAGCTGCTACCTTGTGTCTTTAAGACAAATTAAGAATGTTTCTAGGCCAGGCGCAGTGGCTCACGCCTGTAATCCCAGCATTTTGGGAAGCCAAGGCAGGCAGATCACCTGAGATTGGGAGTTTGAGACCAGCTTGGCCAACATGGAGAAACTCTGTCTCTATTAGAAATACAAAATTAGCCAGGTGTGGGGGCGCATGCCTGGAATCCCAGCTACTTGGGAGGCTGAGGCAGGAGAATCTCTTGAACCCGGGAGATAGAGGTTCCGGTAAGCCAAGATCGCACCATTGCACTCCAGCAACAAGAGCAAAACTCCATCTCAAAAGAAAAAAAGAAAAGAATGGTTCTTCACTTTTAAAAAGACTGATCATGGGCCAGGCGCAGTGGCTCATGCCTGTAATCTAAGCACTTTAGGAGGCCAAGGCAGGTGGATCACTTGAGGTCAGGAGTTCGAGATCAGCCTGGCCAACATGGGGAAACCCTGGTCTACTAAAAATACAAAATTAGCTGGGTGTGTTGGCGTGTGCCTGTAATCCCTGCTGCTTGAGAGCCTGAGGCAGGATAATTGCTTGAACCCGTGAGGCAGAGGTTGCAGTGAGCCGAGATTGCACCAGTGCATTCCAGACTGGGCGACAGAGTGAGACTGTCTCAAAAAAAAATAAAGAATGATCATGGAGATATTTAAATAATTTGATAAGTTTTTTTATTTTTTAGAGATGGGGTCTCACTCTGTTGCCCATGCTAGTCTCAAACTCCTGGGCTTAAGCGATCCTCTCGCCTCAGCTTCCCAAAGTGCTGTGATTATAGATGTGAGCCACTGCACCTGGCCATGTTTTTATATTCAAAATTTTATAAACCTATTTCCAGCGTAGGTGAAGTATTTTGTTCATAAATGAAGAATGAAAGTTTCACATGTGTTTGTGGTGATGGAATGAGTTGGAGAACCTTTGCTGACTTTCATTATCAGCTAAAGCAGGTATCATTTTCGTTCAAAAGACACAGGCCACAAAGGGTACGCAAATACCACACACATGTGAAGGCGTTTGGGCAAGAGTCACATGATAAAATAAGAGATGATGCATAGAACTCTTGTGGTCAACAGAATACATAGCATTTGTATCTTAATTATATAACGAAAGGGGAAGGGAACTAATGTTTTTGACTATTTCTAATGTGACAGATGCTTTAGTAGTCAGTACTTAAGTAACCCTAGAAGATAGCTATTATACTCCCATTTTACAGAGGAAGGAAGTACAGAGAGGTTGAATAATGTGTCCATGGGGTGAAGATTTGAACACATGTGCCCTTGAGTATTACATTTGTTGCTTTATATACTTACTAGGGATTTTTTTTTTAAAGGGTCTCACTCTGTTGCCCAGGCTGGGGTGCAGAAGCACAATCTCAGCTCACTGCAACCTTCACCTCCCAGGTTCAAGTGATTCTTTTGCCTCTGTCTCTCGATTACAGACGTGCGCCACCACGCCCAGCTAATTTTTGTATTTTTAGTAGAGATGAGGTTTCGTCATGTTGTCCAGGCTGGTCTTGAACCCCTGGCCTCAAGTGATCTGCCGCCTCGGCTTCCCCAAGTCCTGGGATTACAGACTTGAGCCATTGCACCTGGCCGTAATTTTTTTTAAATGACAGAGTCTTGTTCTTTGTCTCTCAGGCTGGAGTGCAGTGGCATGATCATAGCTCACTGCAACCTCCAACTCCTGGGCTCAAGTGATCCTTCCACCTCAACCTCTCCAGTAGCTGGGAGTACAGGTGCATGCCACCATGCCCAGCTAATTTTTTTTTTTTTTAATTTTGTGTAGAGATGGGGTTTCGCCATCTTGCCTAAGCTGGTCTCTAACTCTTGGTCTCCAAACAGTTCTCCTGCCTTGCCTCCCAAGTCTTTGGGATTATAGGCATGAGCCACTGTGCCTGGCCTTGTCCCTTAAAATGAGTTACATTTGTAAACAGCTGATTTCTTTGGAGCATCGTCCCCATATACTTTTCTTTCATAAGTGATCTCATCCTTCTTCCACCCAACCTTCCCCTTGAATTTGTTGTTTGTTGTTGTTTCCATTTTAGCAGAATTCATGTTGCTCTGATAGGGGCTCTTTTCAAACTGATGTCTTATCCTTCTTAGTACCTCAAACTAGGTCTTGTTCAGACATGTTATAACAAGTTAGTATGAGTTTATTTTAGTGCAAAAAAAATTTTTGAAATGCATGCATAGTTTTTTCATAATGCACATTTTTCGTGTACTTTTTGAATCCCCCTCATACATGCACGTGGTTTTAAAATCAAACGGAACAGAAAGGTGTTCATGGCCGGGCATGGTGGCTCACATGTGTACTCTCAGCACTTGGGGAGGCTAATGCAGGAGGATCCCTTGAGGCCAAGAAAGAGTTTGATACCAGGCTGGGCAACATAGCAAGATCCTGTCTCTATTTCATTTAGAAAGAAGAAAGAAAGAGGTGTTTAATGTAATTACTGACCTCCTGCCTTACCTTGTCCAGTACTGTTCCCCAGAATAACTGCTTTTTAGAAAAATCACTGTCATTGACATTTTGCTTACGTATAGTAAATTGCACCTTTTTTATTTATTTATTTATTTATTTGAGGCAGAGTTTCCTCCTGTCACCCTGGAGTGCAGTGGCGTGATCTCAGCTCACTGCAACCTCTGCCTCCCAGGTTCAAGCAGTTCTCATGCCTCAGTCTCCTTAGTAATTGGGGTTACAGGTGCACGCCACCACCTGGCTAATTTTTGTATTTTTAATAGTGATGGGGTTTCACTATGTTGGCCAGGCTGGTCTCGAACTCCTGACCTCAGATGCTCCTCCTGCCTTGGCCTTCCAAAGTGCTGGGATTACAGGCATAAGCCACCATGCCCGGCCAAATTGCACGTATTTTAAATGTACAGCTTGATGAACTTTGACAAATGTGCGCACCCCTGTAACCACATTGCCCCTGTGGAGATATAGAATACTTCCATCAACGCACAACTCCTCTTGCTCCTTCCCCACCTCCATCCTCACCCTAGGCAACCAGTGTTCTGGTTTCTACCTTTGTAGGTTAGTTTTGCCTTTCCTAAGACTTCATATAAATGGAATCAAATAATATCTATCCTTTTGTGTCTGGCTTCTTTCAGCAGTTTTTTTTTTTTCCCCAGAGGTAGGGTCTCTGTCACCCAGGCTGGAGTGCAGCGACACAGTCATGGCTCACTCCAGCCTTGACCTCCTGAACTCAAGAGATCCTCGCACCTCAGCCTCCTGAGTAGCTGGGACTACAAGTGCATGCCACCACTCTTGGCTAATTAAAAAAAAATTTTTTTTTTTTTTTTTGAGACACAGTCTTGCTCTGTTGCCAGACTGGAGTGCAGTGGCGCAATCTCAGCTCACTGCAACCTCTGCCTCCTGGGTTGAAGCGATTCTCTTCCCTCAGCCTCCCGAGTAGCTGGGATTACAGCCGCATGCCACCATCCCCAGCTAATTTTTGTATTTTTAGTAGAGACGGGGCTTCACCACGGTGGTCAGGATGGTCTCGATCTCTTGACCTCGTGATCCACCCGCCTCAGCCTCCCAAAGTGCTGGGATTACAGGTGTGAGCCACCACGCCCGGCCTAAAAATATTTTTTGTAGCGATGGAGTCTTGGTGTGTTGTCCAGGATGATCTTGAACTCCTGGGCTCAAGTGATCCTCCCACCTTGGCCTCCCAAAGTGTTGGGGTTACAGGCACAAGCCACCACTGTGGACCAAAATGGTTTTTGAGATTTACCCATGTTAATTCAGTAATCTGCACCTTTTTATGGCTCAGTAGTATTCCATTGTATGACTATAACAAAATTTGTTTATTTACTTATTATTGCACATTTGGGTTATTTTCATCTTTTGGCTATTATAAATGAAGATGCTATGACCATTTAAGTACAACTCTTTTTGTGGAAATATGTTTTCGTTTCTCTGGGATAAATATCTAGGAATGTAATTGCTGGGTCACAGGTAACTGAATGTGTAAAAGAAATCGCCAACCTTTTCCAGTGTGATCATGAGAATTCTAGTTGCTCCATATCCTTGCCAGTCATCAGTCTTTGATTTCGAGTATTCTAGTGAATGTGTAATGGTATCTCACTGTGCTTTTATTTGTATTTCTCTGGTGGCTAGTGACGTTGAGCATCTTTTCGTGGGCTTACTGGCCATTTGTATATCTTCACGAAAGAAGTGTCTGTTCACATCTTTTGTTCACCTAAAAATTGGGTTTTGTGCTTATTAATGAGTTGTGAGAATTCTTGATTCTTGCTAGGTCTTTTGTTAAATATAAATATTACATATATTTTTTCCCAATCTGTGACTTGCCTTTTCTTTTTTGAAATTTTGTTTTTTTTGAAGTGCACTTTTAAATTTTCATGAAGTCCAAGTTATCAGGTTGTGTTTTTTTGTTTGTTTTTGTTTTGTTTTTTGCAGAGTTGTGTTTGTGTGTCCTAAGAAATCTTTGCTAGGCTGGATGTGGTGGCTCATGCCTGTAATCCCAGCACTTTGGGAGGCTGAGGCGGGCGGATCACCTGAGGTCGAGAGTTCGAGACCAACCTGGCCAACATGGAGAAATCCCGTCTCTACTAAAAATACAAAATTAGCTGGGCGTGGTGGCAGGCACCTGTAGTCCCAGCTACTCGGGAGGCTGAGGCGGGAGAATGGCGTGAACCCGGGAGGCGGAGCTTGTAGTGAGCCAAGATCGCACCACTGCACTCCAGCCTGGGCAACAGAGCAAAACTCCGTCTCAAAAAAATAATTAAATAAATAAAATAAAAACAGCAGGGTGCAGTGGCTAACGCCTGTAATCCCAGCACTTTGGGAGGCAAAGCCGGGCAGAACACCTGAGGTCAGGAGTTCGAGACCAGCCTGACCAACATGGAGAAATCCCGTCTCTACTAAAAATACAAAATTAGCCGGGCGTGGTGGCGCATGCCTGTAACCTCAGCTACTCAGGAGGCTGAGTCAGGAGAATTACTTGAACCCAGGAGGTGGAGGTTGTGGTGAGCCAAGATCGCACCATTGCACTTCAGCCTGGGCAACAAGAGTGAAACTCAGTCTCAAAAAAAAAAAAAAAAAAGAAATCTTTGCCTACCCGACCCAAGGTCACAAATCTTTTATGCTGTGTTTTCTTCCAGAAGTTTTATAGTTTTCGCTTTGCCTTGTGGTCTGTAATGCATTTCAAGTTTACTATTTTATCTATGATATATAGCTCTTTTTTAAATACAGATATTCAGTTGTTCCAGCCCTGTTTATTGAAAACACTATCCCATTTCATTGAGTTACTTAGTCACTTTATTTATTTATTTTTTTAATTTTTTATTTTTGAGATGGAGCCTCGCTCTGTCACCCAGGCTGGAGTGCAGTGGCACGATCTCGGCTCACTGCAAGCTCCACCTCCCGGATTCACAGCATTCTCCTGCCTCAGCCTCCCGAGTAGCTGGGACTACAGGCACCCGCCACCATGCCCGGCTAATTTTTTTTTGTATTTTTAGTAGAGACGGTATTTCACCGTGTTAGCCGGGATGGTCCCAATCTCCTGACCTCGTCGTGATCCACCTGCCTCGGCCTCCCAAAGTGCTGGGATTACAGGCGTGAGCCACTGCGCCCGGCCCCTTAGTCACTTTATATAAAATCAATGGACTGTATATGTGTATCTGTTTCTGGAATGTCAATTGATTTCTATGTTGGTGCTTATGTCAATACCACATCATCATAAACATTGAAGATTTATAGTAAATCTTGAAATCTGGCATTGTAAATTCTCCAGCTTCATTTTTATTTTTTATTTTTTATTTTTTTTGAGATGGAGTCTAGCTCTGTCGCCAGGCTGGAGTGCAGTGGTGAGATCTCGGCTCACTGCAACCTCCACCTCTCGGGTTCAAGCGATTCTCCTACCTCAGCCTCCTGAATAGCTGGGATTACAGGTGCCCGCCACCACACCCAGCCAATTTTTATATTTTTAGTAGAGACGGGGTTTCACTATGCTGGCTGGGCTAGTCTTGATCTCCCAACCTCATGTGATCCACCTGCCTTGGGCTCCCAAAATGCTGGGAGTACAGGCGTGAGCCACCGTGCCTGGCCTCTAGCTTCATTTTTTTTTTTTTTTGAGACAGGATCTCACTTAGTCATCCAAGCTGGAGTGCAGTGACATACATGATCATAGTTTACTGCAGCTTTATCTCCCTGGCTCAAGTGATCCTCCCTCCTCACCCTCTGAGTAGCTGGGACGACTGCGCCCAGCTAGTTTTTTTTTTTTTTTTTTTTTTTTTGAGACAGGGCTTTACTATCACTCAGGTAGAGTACAGTGGTGCCATCTCACCTTACTGCAGCCTCTGCTTCCCAGATGCAAACAATCCTCCTGCCTCAGCCTCTCGAGTAGCTGGGACTATAGGCATGTGCCACCACACCCAACTACTTTTTGTATTTTTTGTAGAGACGGGGTTTCACCATGTTGGCCAGGTTGGTCTCGAACTCCTGACCTCAAGCGATCCTCCTGTCTCAGCCTCCCAAAGTGCTGATCCCTTTGCATACACTGAAGTATAGAGAAACAAAGTACAATAAAAAAAAAGAAAAAGAAAATGAAAACAGACGTTTGTTTGTTTGTTTTGAGACAGGGTCATGCTTTGTCACCCAGGCTGGAGTGCAGTGGTGCAATCACAGCTCACTACAGCCTAGACCTCCTGGGCTCGAGTGATTCTTCCTCAGCTTTCTGAGTAGCTGGGACTACAGGTGTGCACCACATACCTGGCTAATTTTTTTTGAGATGGATTCTTTCTGTGCTGCCCAGGTTGGAGTGCAGTGGCGCGATCTCAGCTCACTGCAACCTCCGCCTCCCAGGTTCAAGCAATTCTCCTGCCTCAGCCTCCCAAATAGCTGGGACTACAGGCACGTCCCACCACGCCCGGTTAATTTTTTATATTTTTAGCAGAGACAGGGTTTCACCGTGTTAGCCGGGATGGTCTCAATCTCCTGACCTCGTGATCCTCCCACCTTGGCCTCCCAAAGTGCTAGGATTACAGGCGTGAGCCACCACCTGGCTAATTTTTTATAGAGACAGGTCTCCTTCTGTTGCCCCGACTGGTCTCGAACTCCTGAGCTCAAGCGATCCTCCTGCTTCCGTCTCCGAAATGCTGGGATTATAGGCAAGAGCCGCCGTTTGCAGCCTTGTTGGTAGTTTTCGGTGTGCAGTTCTTACATATGTATACTGTTAAATATATCCCTAAATAATTTACTTTTGAAGCCTGGCACGGTGGCTCACGCCTGTAATCCCAGCACTTTTTGGGAGGCTGAGGCGGGCAGATCACCAGAGGTCAGGAGTTTGAGACCAGCCTGGCCAACGTAGTGAAACCCTGTCTCTACTAAAAATACAAAAATTAGCCAGGTGTGGTGGTGCATGCCTGTAACCCCAGCTACGCGGGAGGCTGCAGCAGGAGAATTGCTTGAACCCGGGCATTAGAGGTTGCAGTGAGCTGAGATTGCACCACCACGCTCTAGCACGACAGAGCGAAACTCCGTCTCAAAAAAAATAAAATAAAATAAAGAAAGTTCTTTTGATGGTGTTTAAGTGGCATTTTTGAAAATTTCATTCTTCAGTTGTTTATTGCTAGTATATTGAAATACAAGTGATTATTCCACACCAGCCTTGTGTCCTGCAAACTTGCTAAATCAACTTACTAGTTTTTATAGATACCTTAGGATTTTCTATGTAAACGATCATATTGTCTACAAATAAAGGAAGTTTTATCTGTTCCTTTTTAATCTTTTTATTTTTTATTTTGAGAGGGAGCCTCACTCTGTCGCCCAGGCTGGAGTGCAGTGGTGCGATCTCAGCTCCCTGCAACCTCCGCCTCCTGGGTTCAAGCGATTCTCCTGTCTCAGCCTCCCCAGCAGCTGGGATTACAGGCATGCGCCACCACGCCCAGCTAATTTTTAAATTTTTGATGGAAACAGGGTTTCACCATGTTGGCCAGGCTGGTCTCAAACTCCTGAGCTCAAGTGATTTGCCCGCCACAGCCTCCCGAAGTGCTGGGATTACAAGCCACCTTGCCCAGCCAGTTCCTTTTTAATCTTTATGACTTTTTTTCCCTTGCCCTATTGCATTAGTTAGAACCTCTAATACCACATTGAATAAAGGTGTTAAGAGGTATATCCTTGCCTTATTCCCAATCTTAGTAGCATATTATTGTCTTTTACTGTTAAGTGTGATGGTAACCGTAGATTTTTTTTGTAGACGTCAGCTATCAGTTTAAGCATTACTTCTATGCCTAGTTTGCTGAGACTTTATAATGAGTAAGTGTTGCCTTTTCCGTATCTATTCAGTTGATGATGATTTTTCTCTATTCTTTGAATGTGACAAATTACATTGATTTTTCAGATGTTGAGTAAACCTTGCCTTCCTTGGATAAATCACACTTGGATAATATGTCATGACATATTATCCATTTTATATAGTGCTGGATTTGATTTGCTATTATTTTGTTGAAGATTCTTTTTTTTAAACAGAGTCTCGCTATGTTGCTTAGGCTGGTCTTGAACTCTTGGGCTCAAAGCAGTCCTCCCACCTCGGCCTCCCAAAGTGCTAGGATTATAGGCATGAACCTCTGCATGGGGTGGTCTTTGTTTTTTTTTCTGTCGTAGTAAACCTAACATCATAAAATGACTTGGAAAGAAAGTATTGTCTTTTCTATTTTCTGAAATAATTTATGCAAGTTTTTTTGTTTGTTTGTTCTTAAATGTTAGATAGGATTCACCAATAAAGCCATCTGGACCTAGAGGGTTCTCTTTTGGAATATTTAGAATTATAAATTCAATTTCTTTAATAGACATAGAGCTATATAGATTTTCTTTTGTATCAGTTTTGATAATTTGTATTTTTTGAGGGATTTATCCACTTTATCTTGGTTGTTTAATAAAGTTGTTCCTAATACTCCCTTATTATCTCTTTAATGTATATAGGATTTATTTATCTAATTCCCTGTTAATGAGCACTAGAGGGAAATGAATGGCTGTTAAGAATAACGAGTACATATGGGATACCGGTGCTAGAGATGTGCTAAGTGTTTCCTTGTAAAACACGTATCTCCCTCTTATCATTTTATGATTTGTCCAGAGTGATAAACTAGATGCTTCAGCTGACAGGCTCTGAATAGGCTCTTTTAACAATCTTATCTATATATTCCAAATACCAACTATAAAAACATGTCATTTTCATCATGATTTGAGTGCGTATCTCACACAAACCTGTTTTTACTCCCTCAGGCCATCATGCAGAAGGGGGATACAAACATAAAGCCCATCCTCCAAGTCATCGTAAGTACCTGCGTATGTTATGTTCCATGTCAACTTCTTTGGAGTCATCGAATTACAAGTTACGTTTGATGAAGGACAGACAGATTTGTCCACTTTCGGAAATTCACCCCCAGTCACAAAAAATAGGCCAGTCTACATTGTAACCCTGAGAGAGCAGCCAGGCTTTTTGAAAATGTTACTACGTGAGCTGCTAAGTTCTACTGTCTTTGGAGATTCAGACTGAAGGCTTTGCCTCTCTCTTCCTCCCCACTGTTGATAGATGACTGTGGAGCTACTTGCCTTTCCTGCCCTTGGGTTTGTCTTGTTCACATTGGCCTTTCATATGACCTCCAGAAATATATCTAGTATGAACTTGTCTCTTTTACATTCTTCAGTTAACACATCATTTATTTAAGGGGTTCTCAAACTTCAGTGGGAGTTTTGAAAAATAGAAGCAGAATGGTGGGCTCACCCCTGCAGGTTTTCAGTCGGCCGGTCTGATGGGTCTCTCTGCTGCACCACACGCGCCGTGGGTCAGCTTGGGGCTCTGGGTACAGGTGTCACTTGCTTTGGAAACCTGCCTCTGCTCTCTCTCAGGTGGGGATAAAGGTCCCGGCTCTGCCGCCTGATCACGGACACATCACTTACGTCTCTCTGCCTCCATCTCCACCCCAGTTGTTAGCTCCTTCAGGACAAGGATTCTTTTTATTCATTTTGTATTTTTAGCATGTTTCCTACACAGCACCTTGTGTATATTGGGTGCTTCATTATTATTATTATTATTATTATTATTATTATTATTATTTTGGTAATTGATTTTTAACCATATTTGAGTCAGGGGTGAGAACACAAGAGTATAGGCAGCTCGTTTTACTTCCCTCTCTGTTGTGTTTAATAATGTTAGTGGAGGGAGGTTAGTGGGAAAATCATCAAATCCAGTTTTCTTTTACTTGGATTTAAGTGTCAAGAGAATGGGCAAACAGTTTGTGTTGAACTAATGGCAAACCCACTCTCCTGCCACTTCGGTTTACGTATCCCTGGGGACGGGGCAGACAACCTGGCTAATGAATCAAGTTTTCTGTCCTAGAACATCCGTCCCATTACTACGGGGAATAGTCCGCCGCGTTATCGACTGCTCATGAGTGATGGATTGAACACTCTATCCTGTGAGTATGGTGTATCCATCTAGAAATGTGTGAGTATTTAAATAGTAGAAGCACACCTGGTCCTTTGGTTGCCATAATTTGGGGGCATTCGTGAAGTCCGTACTTGCTTGGCTACGTACTTCATTCAGACAGAATTGCAGCTGTCAGAGAGCATTCTAACAATAGACTGGAGGTAGTGGAAAGCTGCCACTTGGCTTAATTAATTTTCCCTAACTGGTGTTCTGTGTTTTCTCTGATTAATTTCCCTAAGGATGATATTGACATCGACTGAGTGCGAGGGGTCAGCTGCCCTATACTTTCCTTTTCTGGGGTTTTATTTCTGTGTTGGAAGCTGTAAAGGGGAGAAAGGAGAGAATTTTTAAATGATTTTGGCCACTTTAACAAATTCACACATTTAAGAGTAGCAGCAAATGTTTAACAGGCAGCAAAATACACAGTTTTTCACTCTGCAGAGTCTGACTAGTTTTAATTTCAGGAGCATATGTAAGGCATTTTTCTTTGCTAGCACAGGTATGAGTAGCTCTCAGAGGCTTAAGACTGCAGGATTTTGGAGGCTAAAGAAATCTCTGTGGTTTTCAGCTTTCATGTTGGCGACACAGTTGAACCCTCTCGTGGAGGAAGAACAATTGTCCAGCAACTGTGTATGCCAGATTCACAGATTTATTGTGAACACTCTGAAAGACGGAAGGTATGTGCTGTGTTTTTTTCTGTCTTATTGTATCGTAGAATGGGAACAAATTTAGGAATAAAAAAGGCAATAGTGAGTTTTCAGCTAAGAATCTGCAGCTTTTCAGTTAAGAACTCAGGTAGCTAACACATGGCACCCAAGGAGGAGAAACATGGAAACAAGTTGGAAATTTCAGAGCAGAAGATTAAAGTAGAATGCAGAAATCTTGTTATTTCTAATTTCTTCAGAAGCAGCATTTTTAGGATTTCCCCCAAAAGAATCTTATCTCTTTTGTTTGTTTTTGGTAGAAACGGGGTTTTGCCATGTTGCCCAGGCTGGTCTCGAACTCCTGAGATCAGGCAATCTGCCCACCTCAGCCTCCCAAAGTGCTGGGATTACAGGTGCGAGCCATCATGCCCGGCCTCAAAAGTATCTTTTAATGAAAAGAGGTACTTTATTTTACAGCAGAAAATGATAATTATTTTGTAATGCTGCTTTGTGTGTGTGTGTGTGTGTGTGTGTGTGTGTGTACAATCTTGAATCTTTTATATTAAATGCTATATTTAGCCAATATAGAATACATTGAACCACATGTGGTGGCTCATGCCTGTAATCCCAGCGCTTTGTGGTGCTAAGGTGGGAGGATTGCTTGAGGCCAGGAGTTTGAGACCAGCCTGGGTGACATAGCCAGGCCCTGTCTCTACAAAAAAAAAAAAGTTAAATTAGTGAGGTGTGGCGGCACACGCTACAGTCCTAGCTACATGGGAGGCTGAAGTGGGAGGATTCCCTAACCCCAGGAGTTTGAGACTGCAGTGAGCTGTGATTGCACCGCCGCACTTCAGCCTGGGCAGCACAGCAAGAGGCCATCTCTAAAAAAATAAATTTAAAAAAAGAATGTGTTGTACACGGACAAGTTACTGCATGCTAGAGATACAGTGATGAACAGAACTGTTACTCTCATTGCTAAAACATGACTGATTTCAGGCAAGGTGCAGTGGCTCACACCTGTCATGCCAACACTTTGGGAGACCAGGTAGGGAGGATCACTTGAGCCCAGGAGTTTGCAACCAGCCTGGACAATATGGTGAGACCTTGTCTCTACGAAAAAAAGGAAAAGTTAGCTGGGCGTTATGACATGTGCCTGTGGTCCCAGCTACTCGGAAGGCTGAGGAGAGAGAGTGGCCTGAGCCCTGAGAGGTGAAGGTTGCAGTGAGCTGAGATCACGCCACTGCACTCCAGGCTGGGCAGGAGAGTAAGACCCTGTCTCAAAAAAGACCAAAACAACAACAACAAAAACCGAGATAAAAAATGATAACAATACTAAGAGGTTTAAGTAATTAGTTTTTTAAATTCTGTTATACTGATTTTAGGACTCTTACATTTTCTCCAGCTGTTCTTTTTTCCTACCTCTTTATCTCTGTGTTGGTTGGATTTCACTCAATAACTTTTTTCTGGACTGGCTCTTTAGTGCCGTCTTCCCCATTATCAGCCTGTTGGTCTTTATGCTAGAATGACCACTTGCCTGGCTGTCTATTGTTAGGTTATGTGGCTTTACCCTCAGAATTTTGTCTTCTGGCATTGAATGTTGATCTGGAGAAGTCTTAAGGCCAGCCTGGTTTGATTTCTTCCCTTGTAGGAAGCTTTGCTTTTTTTTTTTTTTTTTTTTTTTCTCCTGAGGCCTCACTCTGGTTGCCCAGGCGGGAGTGCAGTGGCACCATCAGGGCTCACTGTAGCCTTGACCTC
This sequence comes from Homo sapiens, assembly GCF_000001405.40. Lineage (NCBI taxonomy): Eukaryota > Metazoa > Chordata > Mammalia > Primates > Hominidae > Homo > Homo sapiens. Next base: position 1,846,409 of record NC_000017.11, read on the forward strand.
CCGGGCTCAGGTGATTCTCCCACCTCAGCCTCCCGAGTAGCTGGGACTACAGGCGCCCACCACCACGCCTGGCTAATTTTGTTTTGTATTTTTAGTAGAGACGGGGTTTCACCATGTTAGCCAGGATGGTCTCGATCTCCTGACCTCGTGATCCACCTGCCTCAGCCTCCCAAAGTGCTGGGATTACAGGCGTGAGCCACCGTGGCCGGCCGTCCATATTCTTTTTTCTTCTGGTATGTGGTATGCTTGTTCAGTCTGCCGATTCAGTTCTTTTCAACGAAGTTTTTCTGTGTGTTATTCCTTAATGTTGTTTTCTATTTCACTTATTGAGTTCCAGTTTTTTACATACGTTGTAGATAACTTTGATCTCCGCATAGGTCTTTACTTTAACCTTTTTTCTGATGGATGCATTGGCTTGCTTCGAGGTTTTCCAACGTAATAGTACAGTTTTTAGTTTTCTCTCTTCTACTCCTCAATCTTTATAAATTATTAGATGTATAATAGTATTGATTTTGTTCTGTTTTTTTCTTAGCTGTTCAAGCTCCCTTTTCTTCTTAGTCTCTTGTTTTAGCTCATCTTTTGACTGTTAATTTGTTGGATTCATATAGTCGTACTTATTTTGCCAATCGCTTTTGGGAAGTGTCACTCCTTTTCTTGGCTTGTACTTTCTTCCAGAGTGGGTTCTTTAATCGGCTTTGCCTCCCTGTTGCTTTCCCTTTTATGCATTGTTGTGTATTGTATTGTTGCTTTGTCATCATCCCTTTTTATTTTGTTCATGCTTAATGTGGACAGTCCTGTCCAGACTTGGTATTTGCTCTGACATAGTCTAGGCTAGGTACATGTTGCCAACCTTCTCACTTGGGACCTTTTATCTTCCACTCCAGGCTATCTTGGAGCGCTTAAGTGGTGTTTTGCAGCCACTTTTCTGTCCTCCAGGGCATGGTTGTGGGAGAGGGTGGAAGTGTTGCTGGGATTGAGTGCAGTCCTTGCTGGGAAACTTCACAGCCCACTCTCTCCAGTCACGGAGACAGCTCCACTCCCCTGGGCTTTGCCTGATGGCACTGCCTCAGCTTGCAGGCTTGCCTCATATTCTTTTGTACCTCTGCTGAGAGCCTGTGTGTGCGGCTGGGTTTATTTACTCCTTGCTTTTTTGGTGATCATTCAGGTTTATTCTAAACAGGACTTGAGCAGTCATCCTTGTACTTTATCTTAACGTGTTTATGCTTTTATTTCTGAATAACAGATCATTAGAATTTGTATTGTGGGGTCAACGGACATCTGTGGAAAGTATACTAATTATACTCATAAATGTTATATAAGAGTATCTATTGGCCAGGCACAGTGGCTCAGGCCTGTAATCCCAGCACTTTGAGAGGCTGAGGCGGGGCAGATCACAAGGACAGGAGATCGAAACCAGCCTGGCCAACATGGTGAAACCCCATCTCTACTAAAAATACACAAATTAGCTGGGCGTGGTGGCGGGTGCGGCCTGTAATCTCAGCTACTCAGGAGGCTGAGGCAGGAGAATCGCTTGAACCCAAGAGGCGGAGGTTGCAGTGAGCCGAGACTCCAGCCTCGGTTACAGAGCAAGACCCCATCTCCAAAAAAAAAAAGCGTATCTCTGAATAGACAAATCCATAGAAACAAATTCAATGACTGGTTCTCAGGGGTGGTAGAGTGTGGAGTGACTGTCATTGTACACATGGTTTCTTTTGCTGATGACAACAGTGTTCTAAAGTGAGGTAGTGGTGATGCTTGCATAACTGCAAAATGCAAAACCCATAGGATTATCCACTCTGGAAGGGTGAGTTCATTATGGTACGTGAATGATATCTCAATAAACATGTTATTTAAAAAGAAGTGTTTGCCATTAAGCTTGTCAACATACTGTGTATTAGTCATATTTTAAAGAATAATTATCAGCCAGGCACGGTGGCTCATGCCTGTAATCCCAGCACTTTGGGAGGCTGAGGCAGGCAGATCACCTGAGGTCAGGAGTTTGAGACCAGCCTGGTCAACATGGTGAAACCCGTCTCTACTAAAAATACAAAAATCAGCCGGGCATGGTGGCACATGCCTGTAATCCCAGCTACTCGGGAGGCTGAGGCAGGAGAATTGCTTCAACCCGGGAGGCAGAAGTTGCAGTGAGTCAAGATTGCGCCATTGTACTCCATCCTGGGTGACAAGTTTTTCTTGCCCAGGCTGGAGTGCAATGGTGCCATCTCGGCTCACTACAACCTCTGCCTCCCGAGTTCAAGCAATTCTCTGCCTCAGCCTCCTGGGTAGCTGGGATTACAGATGTGCACCACCATGCCTGGCTAATTTTTTTGTATTTTTAGTAGAGACGGGGTTTCACCATCTTGGCCAGGCTGGCCTTAAACTCCTGACCTTGTGATCCACCCACCTCGGCCTCCCAAAGTCCTAGGATTACAGGTGTGAGCCACCGCACCCAGCCTGTTCCTTTTTATGGCAGAATAATACTCTGTTGTCTAGATACATCACATTTTGTGTATCTATTCGTTAGTTGATGGGCATTCGGATTATTTCTGCCTGCTTGCTATTACTAATAATTCTATGAACATTTGTGTACAAGTTTTTTGTGGACAGACGTTTCCATTTCTTTTATAGATAATCTGTCTAGGAAAGGAATTGCTAGGCTAAATGGTCATTTTATGGTTAACTTTTTGAGGCTATTGTTCAAAGTGTGTACACCAGTTTACCTCCCTGCCAACAGCGCGTGAGTGTGGAGTTTCTCCCCGTTCTTGCCAGTACTTCAAATTACACTCCATAGAGTTTCAGTTAAACTTCTCTGTAGACTATTTAGTAGTTTATAGACAAGGTCTTTCTTTACTTTTTCCCTCCAAATTTTTGTTGGCTGTTCTTTTTTTTTTTTTTTTTTTTTGAGACGGAGTCTCGCTCTGTCTCTCAGGCTGGAGTGCAGTGGTGCGATCTCGGCTCACTGCAAGCTCCGCCTCCCGGGTTCACGCCATTCTCCTGCCTCAGCCTCCCCAGTAGCTGGGACTACAGGTGCCCACCGCCACGCCCGGCTAATTTTTTGTATTTTTAGTATAGACGGGGTTTCACTGTGTTAGCCAGGATGATCTCGATCTCCTGACCTCATGATCTGCCCACCTCGGCCTCCCAAAGTGCTGGGATTACAGGCGTGAGCCACCGCACCCGGCATTCCTTATTCTCATATTTGTCATTTTGTTTTTTTTTTTTTTAATTTTACTGTATTGACAGCGCTGTCAAAACTTTGTTGGACGATGGTAATGTCAGCAGTTGCCTGATTTTCATGGAAATGCTTTTGGTTTCACTGTTCAATGCAGTGTTGATCGTGGAAAAACGCGCAGTTTACCAGGTGCAGGTTTTATTTTTTAAGTCCTCAGGATTTCATCAGAAATGGCTCGTAAATTCTTTCAAAGCTTTTACTACATCTTGATATGATCATATTTAATGAACTATTTTAATAGATTATCTAGGCTGGACGTGGTGGCTCATGCCTGTAATCTCAACACTTTAGGAGGCCGAGGTGGGTGGATCACTTGAGGTCAGGAGTTCGAGACCAGCCTGGCCAACATGGTGAAACCCTGTCTCTACTGAAAATACAAAAATTAGCCAGGCGTGGTGGCACATGCCTATAGTCCCAGCTACTCGGGGGACTGAGGCAGGAGAATCACTTGAACCCGGGAGATGGAGGTTGCAGTGAGTTGAGATCGCCCCACTGCACTCTAGCCTGGGCGACAGGGCAAGACTCCATCTCAAAAAAAAAAAAAGATTACCTAATATTCAACTCTTGTTTCATTCTTGCGATAAATCCTGCCTTAAAAAAATAATCCTAGGGCTAGGCTGGTGGCTCACGCCTGTAATCCCAGCACCTTGGGAGGCCAATGCAGGTGGATCACCTGAGGTGGGGAGTTCAAGACCAGCCTGGCTGGCCAACATGGTGAAACACCATCTCTACTGAAAATACAAAAATTAGCCAGGCATGGAGGCACACACCTAATAGTCCCAGCTACTCGGGAGGCTGAGGCAAGAGAATCACTTGAAACCAGGAGGCGGAGGTTGCAGTGAGTTGAGATTGCCCCACTGTACTCTAGCCTGGGTGACAGAGCAAGACTCCGTCTCAAAAAAAAAAAAGGATTGCCTAATAATTCAACTCTTGTTTCATTCTTGCAATAAATCCTGCCTTAAAAAAAAATCCTAGGCTGTGCTGGTGGCTCATGCTTGTAATCCCAGCACTTTGGGAGGCTGAGGCAGGTGGATCACCTGAGATGGGGAGTTCGAGACCAGCCTGGCCAACATGGTGAAACCCTGTCTCTACTAAAAATACAAAAATTAGGTGTGGTGGCGGGTGCCTGTAATCCCAGCTACTCAAGAGGCCGAGGCAGGAAAATTGCTTGAACCTGGGAGGCGGAGGTTGCAGTGAGCTGAGATTGTGCCACTGCGCTCCAGCCTGGGTGACAGAGTGAGACTCTCTCTCTCAAAAAAAAAAATAAGAATTATCTTAGCTTGCTAATTTTCTCTTTTTATTTTTAAAAATCTTTTTTCTGGAAAACTTTAAACATCTACAAACATAGACAGAATACACAGTAGTCTGATGAATCCCCATATAGCCCATCATTCAGCTCCAAATTGTCATCTGTTGTCCAGTTTTGCTCTAGCTCCATCCTTTCAACGTCCACTATCCTCTGTAATTTTGAGGTAAATCTCAGACATCATATTATTTCATCCATAAATATTTTAGTATGTATTTTTGAAAGATAAAAACTCTTAAAAAGACACTATCCCATTTCACACCTAAAAAAATACCGTCCGTGTTGTATTTCCATCTTGTTGTATATGTGCGTGTGTATGTGCGTGTGCGTGTGTGTGTGTGTGCCCACACAATCTATATGAATCAGAATCCAAAATAAGTTTCCTGTGACGGTAGATTGATGGTCTGTTAAGTCTCTCTGAATCTGTAGGCTCTGCGTCTGCCTTTTTTCTCCTTTACTGTTTATTTGCTGAAGAAACCAGGTCATTTATCCTTCACCTTGTGCAGTTTCCCCCAGTCTGGATTTGGCTGATTGCATCCCTGTAAAGTCACTTAATGTGTCCTTGTCATCTGTATTCTCTGTAAGTTGATATTAGTGTATTCTTTTAATATGCTGCTAGGTTCATCTTGCTGATATTTTATTTAGGATTTATGGGATATTGCAGGATGAAATTAGTTTTGGTTTTGTGTGTGTGTTTTGTCTTAGGTTTTAGTATTAGAGTCATACTAAATGATTCATAGGCCTTCTATTTTTATATGTTCTGGAGTGATTTGTATAATTTGGAAAGTAGTTAAATATCTGCCACTAAGTATCAGATAGTTATTACAGGGAATCTAGATACCATTTTCAGGAACAGATAATTTCAGGCTTATCTTATTGAAACTCTGATGTGAAACCTGATAAGGGTAGCACACACTGATTGATTGTATGTAAAAATCCAAATTATAGCAGTCAGACCATTTAAAACAAACGATTGATTGTATGTAAAAATCCAAAAACAGCAGTCAGACCATTTAAAGTCTAAAACGTGATGAATTTGGGTAGATTATTGCTTAAATATTGCCCTAGGCCTGTTTCTTCAGCTCCCTTGCCACTAACCTCATTCAGGCCTCTGTCATTTTGTCTCTTCTCTTGGTCTCCCTGCCTCCAGTCATGTTCCCATTAAATTCCTTCTTTTTAAAATGCAGACATTGTGATATGCTCATCAAGTATGTATTGAGCAACAACTGTGGGCCATTTGCTTCATTAAGCACTGAGGGATACCTGTCTTTATTGACAGTACAGTCTAGTAGGAGCGAGAGAGAATAATAAAATAATCACTAATGAACATATAATTAAGACGGAGCAGAGTGTTCTGAAGGAAAGAAATCAAGGCTGTAGGAAAGACTAGAACAAAGCAACCTGATCTCAACTAGAGATTAAGGAAGTGTCTCTTGAAGTGATGTTTGAGACGAGAGCTAAAAAATGAGTATTAGATGAGGCAAAATGAGAAGGAACACAACACCGCAATCTCAGAGCATCACGGACAAAGGCCTTGTGGCAAGAGGGACTGTCCCATGTGGTGGAACTGAAAGAAAACAGGAAGGCCAGAGGGCAGAGGGCAGAGGGCAGGCAGCGGCACGGGAGGGGGGTTAGCAAGGCCAGGCCAGGCAAGCCATGGCCCAGGTTTTTCTTTGTGGCCTAAGGTCATTGGGAAGTTATCACAACGTTTTAATTAGAGTTAAAAAGCAAAAGAACTGTAAGTTCTTAAAAATGGGTCATTATTACATTTTTTAAAATATCTATTGTCATAATTGGTTTTCACTGGGAAAAAGTCATTGTTGAGATAAGTATGTGTTTCTGAAAACAGTTCATCTCTTTTTATGCCATATATTCTTGTGTTTAGTAATCTAAATTCTTACCATGTCGGTTGGCTCCTTGAAGATACGGTGCGTAGCGAGAACACTGCATTTTAATTAAGGAACTAGTTGGGAACTGAAAACCCTGCAATCACTTGATAATGATGCGGCGAAAGATGAAGAGAAATATTTATGTAAACAGATGACAAATGGAAAATAGTTCATCACAATGATCATCGGGGAAAGCATTTTGAGTAGCTTATCATTTGAACAGAATTTGTTTTTCTAACCTGTTTCTGTTTGTCTGCTTTTGCAGGAGAGTAGTTATCTTGATGGAATTAGAAGTTTTGAAGTCAGCTGAAGCAGTTGGAGTGAAGATTGGCAATCCAGTGCCCTATAATGAAGGTAAAATGCTTTGGCGTAGGTTGTAGCACTCAAATGAATACCTCTTTATATATTCGGAGTTCTACCTTTTGGATTCAGTTTGACTTGTTAGTGTTAATAAAATGATAGTGATTCTGAGGTCTAGGAACCAGGCTATTCTGTCAGGCTTTTTCAGTTCTAAAGAAATGATGTATGAAGAAAGGGCACAATTAGAAAGCAATGGACAAACGGGTTGGGTGCACGGTGGCTCACACCTGTAATCCCAGCACTTTGGGAGGCCAAAGCAGGTAGATCACTTGACGTCAGGAGTTCGAGACCAGTCTGGCCAGCATGGCAAAACTCCGTCTCTACTAAAAATACAAAAAGTAGCTAGGCATAGAGGCCTGCGCCTGTAATCCTAGCTACTCAGAAGGCTGAGGCAGGGAAATCGCTTGAACCCAGGAGACAGAGGTTTCAGTGAGCCGAGATCGTGCCACTGCACTCCAGCCTGGGCAACAGAGTGAGACTCTGTCTCAAAAAAAAGTAAGAAAGTAATGGACAAAGATTCAGTTATACTAGACTAAAAAAAAATCTAGGATATCACAGTAATATAGGATACTACAGGATATCTGTAATATTAATGAGAAACGTGTTTTCCTAAGACTTATGTACACTTTTGTTTTTAAAAAGTGTGAAGCATGCAGTCTATACTCCTGTGATAACACTCACTGCACTGGTAGCTTTTAGAATTATCTCTATTTACTGCTAAGCCATGAGTAAACTGTGTGAAGGTAGAGATCATGTTTGTTCTAGTGCCTAACTTGAGGCTGGCGTTTAGTAAGTATTTGTTGAAACAAGTTGAATATATAACGTTGTTTTACTGTGATTATCTCTTGATGGTGAAATTACTAATGATTTAATTTTCTCATGAAAATGTATAGAAAAGCACATTGAAATAAAAAAAGTCCATTTTTTCTTTGCATCCTAAAAGAAGCTGAAAAAAAAGTCATTACTTCAGACAATTCTAGAGAAAGGCGAAAAGAATCTTCAAATCACTGGCCCCATTAAAGGAAAGGATTGTTTGCCCTTACACCAAGTCAAAACATAAAAGCCTCATTTGACACCAAAATAAATTTGAGATGTATTTTTTTCAAGTTAGAAAATGAAACCATCAAAAATCAAGAGGAAGAGGCTGCACAAATAGATTGGAATAATTCACAATGAATATTTGATTACATTGAAATTTTAAAATTACATATTAAAAATAGGAAACCAGGTACGGTACCTCACACCTGTAATCCCTGCACTTTAGGAGGCTGAGGTGGAAGAACTGCTTTGAGTGCAGGAGGACGAGACCAGCCTGGGTAACACAGGAAGACCCCATCTCTGCAATAATTTTTTAAAAACTTAGCCAGGTGTGGTGGCTCACACCTGTAGTCTCAGCTACTTGGGAGGATGAGGTGGGGGGATTACTTGAGCCTGGGAGGTTGAGGCTGCAGTCAGCTGTGATGGCACCACTGCCCTCCAGCCTGGGAACACAGCAAGTGTCCGCTATTCCCCACTGCAAAAAATTAAAAGTGTGTAAACTAGGATAAAATAT